>NW_025791792.1:300000-434831 GCF_000001405.40 Homo sapiens | reverse complement strand
GAATTCAAGACCATCAGAGCCTCACGCTGAGCAGGGTCCTTCTCACTTGCATGGCCCCTGCATCTCCAATCCCCACTGCATCCCGTGCGCCCGGATATCTTCGGGAATTAGTGCATTCTTGTGAAACACGGGGTTTTATTTTGAGGCGCGTTTTCAATTCTGCAACGGGGGTGTGCACGGCCTTGCTCTACCGGTCACCCTCCTGCTTCAGCTCTGGGTCTGAAGGTGGCTCCACGTGGCTCCGGGGTCACTACATCCACACCCAGGGACCCCCACCTCGGCCGCTTCCAAGCTCTGCCCCGCCGTGTGCCTCGAGGACAATCGCCTGGGGACAGACCCGCCCGCCGCCCCACCAGTCGTGTGACATCAGGCAGTCCACAGCCTCCCTGGCCCTCAGTATCTTCATCTACACAACGAGAGGAGCATTGACCACTTTGCAGAGCTGCTTTGGAGGCCAGAGGTCATGAAATGAAGTTGCCGGCCTCCGCTGACCCACGGTTGTCGTTTTAGCTCTCCGCTTCCTGACCCGGGGTTCTCGGTCTCCCCTTTAGTCTCTCTTCCTCCCCAAAGCGCAGTGCCTCCTCCCCCGGGCCAGTAGGGCCCAAGGCTGCAGGGATGCGGCTGGAGGAGCGCAGCGGGAGGGGTCAGAGCTGCCCGCGGCAGAAGCGCAGATGAGCAGTCCTTGAGCGCCCCCTGGGGGCCGTGAGCTCCGAGCCTGTGGCCGAGGGCGGGGAGGCGCCTGCTGGGCTCTGCAGAGGTCACAGGCAGGGACTTGGGGGTTCCTAGGGGCCCCGGCACAGGCTGGCACGGAGGAGGAGGCATCGCCCGGCCCCCCCTCGGGGCTGTAGCTCAGAGCAGCCCTGGTGCCATGACCACCCCCCAACCCCTGGCCCAAGCGGGCAGAGCCCTCGGTGTGGGGAGACCTTCCCTTCTGCCCCTTTCTCCTGCGTGTTGACCTCACAGAACAGGAAGGGGGCCAGCAGGAACATGGCAGGGGGCGTGACAAGGGCAAGGCCCTGGGGTCGGCTCGCCTGCTCCTTGCCCTGTGCCAGCCGACCTGGGCCTCCCTGTCTCCGCCACATCCCTCGCCTGTCTCGACCACGGCCTCCGTCCCCAGGCACTGGCCCCTGGTCCCCAGGCTCTAGGTGGTGGCAACCCCTCGCTCGGGGCCACTGGGGGCAAAGAGGGGGGGCAGCTCCTGCCTCTGCTGTCTCTGGGTAGACTCCCTTTCTGTCCCCACGGTAGCAGCTCTGGTTTTCTCTGCACCTGAGTCCCTGTCCCCATCCCCCAGAAGGTTCCTGTGTCCGGGGAAGGGTCCTTCGTCCCTTGCGACTTTCTCCAAGTTGCTATATATGCACTCCGAGTCTCCTTTTCTGACCTGTAAAATTGTGATGGGAATAACAGGGCCGTCGCCATTCCTGGGGAAACGAGACTGCAGGTCCTGCGGCCCGGGCTGGCCGAGAAGCGCCACCTGGTGGCAGGAGGGCCCCGCGGGGCGGCCGGCGAGTGGGAAGCAAAGGCTCCTCGCAAGACCACTCCCCTAGCCCCGGGGTCGGCAGCTCTCCAGGGGCCATGTCCCCGGCTGGTTCGGCGCCCAGGGACAGCACCCCAGACCAACTTGCGCATTCCTTCCAATCACAATGACTTTGATGCTTTTGAAAAAACAAAAATTAAATTAAAAAATAAAATAACACATCCTTTAAGTTTTGTATCTGTGGGCTCCTCTTTCTGGGACTCAGGGCGAGTGCCTAGCCCGCCCGTGCACACCGTCAGAGCAGCGCAGCCAGACCCCAGCCTCTGCTCAGCCAGGGTCTCTAGGGAAGGTGCCTGCAACCAAGCCCTCGTTTCTAGTTTGTAATGCACGGCTTCTATTTTGTGGCATGCACTGATGCTGGTTTAGAACGGCTCCCACCCTTCCCTGTCTTCGTAGCAGGTAGTGAGTAGCTGTGACCCTCTGAGAACAGGACAGGGGCTCACCCCTCCAAGCCATCTCCTTCCTGCTCCTCAGCCCTGGAGAGTGGAAGTGGGTGCGTGGGAAAGTTGAAGGCTTCATGCTCAGGGCTGGCATGGCCAGGGGCACCGAAGGAGGTCGGGGGAGGAGGGACATTCGAGAGCCGGGCTCTCAGAACCTGGGTGTCTGTGGCTTCCTGGGGATGCAGGGATGGATGGAGTTGTGCCTGGCCAAAATCTCACCCTGCACCGTCACTCCAGCCCCTGCCCCTCCCCGGGGTGAGAGGCGGCCTCTGGCTTCCCACCTGCCCACAGGGCCTTGCCTGCCTGGGGCCCAGCAGGTGGTTCAGCTTAGCTCCATGACTAATTTCCCTCCGCCTTCACCTGAACACACAGGTGCACCCCGAATCTGCTCCCACACCCCCTCCTCCAGCAGCTTAGGGTCGAGGACCAGAACCAGTTTTCAATGCATTTAATGACCTCTGAGGAAGTCCCCTTAGAAGATTGCGGCAGCAACCGGGGATGGGAAGGGGCTGTTTCCAAATGAGGTGAACCTGGGGAGGTTGCCTGAGCCTCTGGGCCTCAGCCTCTGTTTTCTGGCAGGCAGAATGGAATGAGCATTCCCTTTTCTCCTGGGCCACTGGGAGACTTTGCCATTGTGAAGGCAAAACGCCTGGCAACAAGTGGGTCTTCTGTGACCATGGCTCTCGCCGTAGGCTTACAGCAGCAGCCGCTGCTTCCTGGGCCTCTGTCCCTCTGTGAAGGTCCCCGGTCTCTCAGACAGAATCTTCTGTCTGGGTCAGGGTCTGGCCACACTGTCCCTGAGCTCTCCTTCCAGGCATCCCAGCTGGGGGCAGAAGTGAACCCACAGAAACCCCCATCCACCCCGGACATTGAGGCTGCCCCTGGGAGCTGGCAGATCCTGAACTCTAATAAGGCCTGTCCTAGGCGTGGAGCTGGCTGGTAGCTTGAGGGTTTCAAGCCCTCTGGATCCCACCTACACAGGGATTCCCTGGAAACACCCGTCCCTCCTACTCCACACCCCAACCTGACCTCCTGAGGCAGTGGCTGCAGGGGCCCTGGGGGTTCAGCCCCAGCAGTGAGATGGGCCATGGGGCTCTGGAGCCCTGGGTCGTGTGGGGCTCAGGCCTCAGGGCAGATACCCTGGCCCTGGCCTTGGCAACAGCGCCCCTCTTGTTCCCTGGGGCATTGCTCTGCTGCTCGTCTCCTTTTTGCAGCCACCATTTATGTAGCGCCGACTATGTGCAGAGTCTGGGAAGGTGACACAGAGAAGAATAAGAAGAGGGAGTGGTCCTGCCCCAGGGGTGCGGGGCCAGCTGTGAGGCGTTGCAAAGCGCGAGGAGGGGTCCGCGGCTGGTCCGGGGGCCCATGCCTGCGCTTGGGGGACGTGCTGGACAGGGCACGTGGAACCAGGCCAGAGCTGACTTTGTTCTGGGAATGGGAAGAGTTTGTTATTTAGCTTGTTCCTTTCATCTATTTGCATTGCAGAAGTAATCCTTAAATCCAGCCCTTATCTAATCACTAGAAGAGTTACAGAGACAACCAAAGTGCTCTTTGATCCTTCCCCACATCCCAGTCATCTGGGAGCACCCAGGGAGTCACATGGGAAGGGCTGGGATCAGATCTGAGGGTCTAGCAGGGTGTGTCCCAGGGCAGAGCCCTTGCCAGGGGTGAGCAGTGTCCGGGGAGGGAAGGGCCCCAGGGACAGAGCACAGCTGGGCCCTGAGAAGCCTGGGAGGCTGAGGTGGGCAACATGGAGCTGGCTGGCTTCTGAGCAGCCCAGTACCTACCAGGCCCACCCACCCTCAGCCACTGCCAGGAAAACCTGCTCAGGCCCCACTCAGAGCCACTGTGGAAGTGGGAGCTCCACCAAACCTGAGCCCCCAAAGGTGTTTCTCCAGGATCCCCTGCCAGCCCCACCTCCCACAGCCTGAGCACAGACCCCGGGATGCCCCACAGGACCACCTGCTCCCACACAGCCCCGTCACATTCCCCACAGCCCTGTCGCACTCCCCACAGCCCTGTCACACTCCCCACAGCCCTGTTGCACTCCCCACAGACGTGTCAAAACTCCCCACAGCTCTGTCACACTCGCCACAGACCTGTTGCACTCCCCACAGCTCTGTCACACTCGCCACAGACCTGTCGCACTTCCCACAGCCCTGTCACACTCCCCACAGCCCTGTCACACTCCCCACAGCCCTGTCGCACTCCCCACATCCCTGTCACACTCCGCACAGCCCTGTCACACTCCGCACAGCCCTGTCAAAACTCCCCATGGCCCTTTCAAAACTCCCCACAGCCCTGTCGCACTCCCCACAGCCCTGTCACACTCGCCACAGACCTGTCGCACTCCCCACAGCCCTGTCCCACTCCCCACGGCCCTGTCAAACTCCCCATGGCCCTGTCACACTCCCCACGGCCCTGTCCCATTCCCCACGGCCCTGTCCCACTCCCCACGGCCTTGTCCCACTCCCCACGGCTCTGTCACACTCCCCACGGCCCTGTCAAACTCCCCAAGGCCCTGTCACACTCCCCACAGCCCTGTCACACTCCCCAAGGCCTTGTCACACTCCCCACGGCCCTGTCGCACTCCCCACATCCCGTGGCATCTGGCTGTACATGGAAGTGAGGAAGCTGCTGTCTCCCCCAAAGAACATTGCTCCCAGCCAGGGCTCAGCCCTGTGGGGCAGGACTCAGAGGCTCCTGGTTCAGAGACCAAGGCCCTTGTCACTTGCAGCGTGAACAGCAGGGAACTTTGCCCCCGAGTCCCACAACAGAGGTGGGGACCTTGTCACGGTGGGCCCAGGTGACAACACAGGGCCAGCGATTCTTCACCCGGCAGCAAACACTGCGGCAGACGACAAACATTGCAGCCCTTGGCAAACAAAAAGCACGCAGCAAACAGCGTGGTCAGCGAAAAGACCCTCCCCTCCCCGGGGATCAGACAGTGCAAGGCCATCCCCGGGATGACCTGCACCCACCCGGCTGCCTGTGTGACCAGCCACAGAACCCACTCTGCATTAGCACCCACGGCCGGGACAGGCAGGGAGCTGCGCCCGTGGCTTCCTGCATCTGCCGACACCACCCGAGGCTGCCAGGCCACAACATGAAGTCAGCTGTGCCAGGAAATCCCAAGCCTCACCCACACCTGGCCCCGGGCTGTCGCTGCATGCCAAGGGGTTGTGGGACCTCGCAGGCCTGCAGGCAGCATGGGTGGGCGCTGGGCTGGGGTCCGAGTGTGCCCCTACTCTAGGGCATGGCCGGTGGGCAGGGACAGGGGAAAGGGAAGGAGCAGGATGCCCACCTGGCTGTGGCTGTCTTACCCCATGGAATCCAGGCTCCAACTGACCTCACCATTCTGTGGGTTAATTTTCATTCTTAAAACCTTCATCTAAAGACCTTTGCTTCCTGGAATACAGGCCTGGGTTTTCCCAACAGTCGTGGGCACCCGGCCTGGCACGTGCTGCTCAGTGGAGGGACCTCACAGCCCGTTCTATGTGAGCCGTGCAGGAAAAGCTCCACGGACAAACTCACTCTCCGTGACAATCAGGAGGTTTCTTCTCCAACCACCAGAAGGAGCTGGGGGAGCTCATGAGGCCAGGAAGAGAACAGTCCTAATCCCATCCTTCCCCTCCTCAGCAGTGACCCCAGGGTCTGCTGTCCTGCCCCAACCCGCACTTCAAAGAAGGAAGGACACCTGCCTTCCCCTGCTACCTCACACCCCGAAGCATGGGGAGCATGGGGACCCTCGGCAGAGTCCTTTTGTAGTGAAGAATAACAGACTAGTGTAAAATAGCAGAAAAGAAGCTAATGGCCAAACACATCCAAGCTGGGGAAAACACCTGTTAAATATAATGACAGAATATGCTCTCATCAAAACCCAGGAAACTTTAAGAATACACTAAACCTCACAAAATGGGGGCGAAATACAATGATGACCACACGTATGAGAAATGGTCAATGGTAGAATTGAAAGAAATGCAAGGGAAATAAAAGGTAAGGGGTCCTTTCCGAGCAAAGTGGCAACGTCACAACAGCTCACAGTCAGGCTTGGCGGGACAAGAATGCTGGGCAGTGCTGGTTTGCAGGGAGGGGTCAACTTTTCTGGAAGCAGCCCAGCAAAGTGCCCCAGAGCCATCAATTATTCCTGTGCTTCGCAGCCACAGCCCACGAATGCAGGTGCAGCCACAGAAGCGCTGGCAGAGGGGAGGCTGAGAGTGGCGCTGGTTGAAGATTTCTCACAGGAAACAAAAGGCACAGCCTCCACGTGGCTCATGGCCATGAAAACCCTTGACTCAAACCATTCCACGTCGTGAGGAAGACGCGGGTCAGCTGCCCTAGTTGGGTGATGATGATGCTGTCAGGGAAAGCGTCGGTGCCTATGTGGGGAGAGTAGGGGAGTGAGAAACAAAAGCAAAGCGTGGTGGCTCTGTGGCTCCGGTGCCCCGGAGGCCATGGCTCACTTTTTCACAATGAACATGGGCTATTTTCATTTTTTAAAGTCTGCTAATGTTTCTAAGGAGACCATACAGAACCGAAAATTCTGAATAACCTTGTCTTCCATAAGGCAGACTTTTCATTTCTGTCATCTTTCCGGAAGGGCTGGACACAGAGACTGTGGGTCTGTGATGGAGGTGCCACCATCTCACCCCGAGTCCACGGCCCTCAGTCTCTGTGCTCCCCGAGCCGAAGGTGAGGAATCCATGCCTTATGGTTGGCGAGGGCTGCTGGGGCACCTGCCATCTCATCTGCATCCTGGGAAGCAGGAAGGAGCACAGAGGAAAACACAAGCCTGCTCTGGCCAGCTCAGTGTGCTCCTTCCAGAAACAGGTAAACACAAAATTACCCTGCGAAGCCGCCATTCCATTCCTAGGTCTATCCCCAAAAGAAATCAAAGCAGGGACTCAAATACTTGCACAGCCCTTACCACGACCTGGATGTAGTCAGTGCATCTGTTCCCAGCAAAACTCTTGTTGAAACGGGACCCCCAGTGTGGCAGCGTAGGGAGGTGGGGCCTGAGGGGAGGGAGACGTGTGGGTCGTGGGAGTGACTCCCTGGGGAGTCCGTGGTGCTGGGAGTGATTCTCCTCTTGTGATACAGGGTGAGTTCCCATGGGAATGGATTTGTTCCCATGAGTGGGGCTTGTTCTGAAGCCAAGACATCCCTGAGCTTTATCTCTCTTCCCGTGTCTGCTTCCCCTTTGACCTCCTCCAGCAGAAGCCAGGGCCATGCCATTGAACTTCTCAGCCAGCAGAACTGTGAGCTTGATGAATTACCCCATCACAGAGGTTCTTTTATGGCTACACAGAATGGACTCAGACACCCATGCTCACAGCCGTGCAGTCACAATAGCCCAAAGGTGGAAACAACCCAGCAGGTGAGGGGATCTGAAATGGGGTAGACAAACACATCGGGGTCTTACGGAGCCTGGAAAAGGAGTGTGCTCTGACGCCTGCAGCAACGCCACCAACCTTCACAGCCTCGTGCCGAGTGAAGCCAGCCAGTCACAATAGGACCAATGCTGTGACCCCACAGATGGAAGGCCCCCAGAGGAGTCAGATTCAAGAGGAAGATGGCAGAATGGTAGTCAGCAGGGCCAGTGACAGAGGCCGATGGGAGTGAGTGATTAGTCAGGACGGAGCTCCAGTTTCGCGCGATGAAAAGGTGCTGGAGCTGCATGGTGGCGACAGTGGCACAGCCACGTGCAGGTTCCCAATGCCACGGAACTGTGCACTTACCATGGGGATGGTGGGAACTCTCATGTACCCGCATTTGACCAGAGAGGAAGGAAGGAAGGGAGGGGGGAGGGAGGAGGGAGGGAGGTAGCAGAGAAGGAAGGAAGGAAGGGAAGGGGGAGGGAGGAGGCAAAGAAGGAGGGAAGAGGGAGGCAGGGAAGGGGGGAGGGAGGGAGCAGAGAAGGAAGGGAGGGAGGCAGGGAGGGAAGAAGGAAGGAAGGAAGTGAGGGAGGGAGGAAGGGAGAGAAGCAGGAAGGAAGGAAGGAAAGAAAGAAGGAAGGAAGGGAGGGAGGGAGGAGGAGGGAGGAGGAAGGGAGGGAAAGAGGGAGGGAGGGAAAGAGGGAGGGGGGGAGCAGAGAAGGAAGGAAGGAAGGGAAGGGGGAGGAAGGAGGCAGAGAAGGAGGGAGGAGGGAGGCAGGGAAGGAGGGGGAGGGAGGAGGGAGGGAGGGAGCAGAGAAGGAAGGGAGGGAGGCAGGGAGGGAAGAAGGAAGGAAGTGAGGGAGGGAAGAAGGAAGGAAGGAAGGAAGGACGGACCAGCCTGTTAGGCTGACTGACAGAGTACCCCCTGTCCTCCAATGCTGCCCACGGCAGGCATGTGGCAGTGGCTGACAGGGAGTGAGTCTGGAAGCGACCCTTGTCGGGGCAGCCTCCTTGGTCCTGTGATTCAGGACAGGGTGAAAGTCAGTGGCGGCCATTGGTGCCTCTGGCTGGGGTTCCTCACAGGGGCCCGCAAGGGGACAGCGAATGGAGCGTGGAGGGTGGAGGGCTCCTTCTCCGGACCGGAGCGATGGGTTCGGGAGCCATTCTGTGCCTGTCTTTGCTGCTGGGCTGAGGAGCTGGATGGCATGCTGGGAGTAGTGGGAGCTGCTGAGGAGTTTGGTCCTGGAGCGAAGAGGCTGAATCCGCATGTCTGGAGTCACCGTGGAGGGCACAGCTAGAGGGAGCAGCAGGGTGTCCCAGGGAGAAGACACCAGGGCTGGAATTAGAGGGACATCAAGGCTGATACTTAGAGGCATCCAATATATGGGGCCTGCCTGATGGGCTGCTCTCAGGTGGGATTTGGGGGGTGTGAGAGGGGTCAGTGCCCAAATGACCATGGGGTCCGTGGCCTGTATGCCCAGTCAGGTGACGACGCCATTCAGAAAGTAGATCTCATGGGGTGCCCGGCTGCTGAGTCTCAGGCCAGATCTGCAATGAGTGCGCTGCCCCAGGCGTGGAACACTCTGGTGCCATCGGGACCCAAGGCTGAGTGCACCCAGGAGCTGTGGGTCTGAAACAGCGGTCAGAGGTCACCGACATGTGAAGGAGGCCCCTGGAGTGTCAGAGGTCACCGACATGTGAAGGAGGCCCCTGGAGTGTGGGATACAGAACCCCCAGGTGTCCAGCTAGGCAGGAGGCTTTGCAGGACTGAGCAGGTGGGGAGGAAGGGCAGGGAGCGCGGCTGCCAGAGGAGAGAGGGCACTGGGGGTGGCTCGACCTGACGAGGCTGCTTGAAGGAGACACTCTTGGAAACTGACAGGGCTGCAGGCACTCCTGGGAGCAGGAGGAGGGTGGCCTGTCCTGGGCAGACCAGCCTCTCTGGGCTGTGTGGCCCCAGCTCCCTGAGCCCAGAGGGAGGTGAGGGTGAGAAGGCCTGGACCAGGCAGGACGCAGCCCCCAGGGCCCCTGCTGGGAAGAGGTCAGAACCTCCCAAGGACCCAGAAGGCCAGGTAACTGAGAACGGGGCTGCTCTCTGAATCTCCAGGGAGGACAAAGGCGGCCATGGCAGCAAGGGGACAGGGCAGAGGGGAAGGCGGGCAGGTGGATGTTGGAAGCCGCAGATTCCCATCCAGTATCCTAGAGGAGGAGACCCAGGGCTGTGTCCTAGGAGGCCCAGGAAGCCTGGTCAGCCTGGAGGCTGAGGGCGGGCCCGGGAGATCTGGTAAGGACATCAGTGTCTCCACGAAGAGCAGCAGGGTCTCAGCCCATGGCAGCCGCAGGCCCCATGACTGGGGCCGCAGCCTCCAGAGCCGCCACAGCAGCCCATTGTTCTGGGGGGTCAAAGGTGGAGGCTGTCAGAGGGGCAGTGCAGGGGGCTGCTGGGGTGAAGCCCCCTGTAGCAGCAGCACCCAGCCTGCTGTGGCTCTGCCCTCCTGGACCCCCTGTCCTCCTGGACCCCCTTCCCTCCTGGGCCCTCCTGGACCCCCTGCCCTCCTGGACCCCCTGCCCTCCAGGACCCTCTGCCCTCCTGGACCCCCTGCCCTCCTGGACCCCCTGCCCTCCAGGACCCTCTGCCCTCCGGGACCCCCTGCCCTCCAGGACCCTCTGCCCTCCGGGACCCCCTGCCCTCCAGGACCCCCTGTCCTCCTGGACCCCCTGCCCTCCTGGGCCCTCCTGGACCCTCTGCCCTCCTGGACCCCCTGCCCTCCTGGACCCCCTGCCCTCCAGGACCCCCTGTCCTCCTGGACCCCCTGCCCTCCTGGGCCCTCCTGGACCCTCTGCCCTCCTGGACCCTCTGCCCTCCTGGACCCCCTGCCCTCCTGGACCCCCTGCCCTCCAGGACCCCCTGTCCTCCTGGACCCCCTGCCCTCCTGGGCCCTCCTGGACCCCCTGCCCTCCTGGACCCCCTGTCCTCCTGGATCCTCTGCCCTCCCGGACCCTTTGCTGTCCTGGGTCCTCTGCCCTCCTGGACCCCCTGCCCTCCTGGACCCCCTGTCTGTGGCCCCTGCTCCCCTCCTCCTTCCCCGACACATGACTGGACCCCCCGATCTGCAGCCGGGGTCTGGGCACTGGGGGTCCTGTGGGCCTCTCGGTGTCTGGGGACAATCACAGGTTCCCGTGCCCACACCCAGCCTCTGCTTCCAGAACACACTAGAGGGTCCCGGCATCCTGATGAGTCCACTGTCCCCGCGATGGTTTTCAGGGATGGAGAAGGCTCCCTGTCCTCCGCTGGAACCCTGCAGCCGGGCTGACGGTACCCCCACCACCCACCCAGGGGCCCCCAGACCCTCCCCATCTCCACCGCCAACCCAGGCCCCGGCTGCGCACGCGGGGCCAGGCCGTGAGCTGCTGTCCCCGGATGGGGCCGCCCCGGGCTGGCCTGGCTCACTCCGTGTCACAGATATTCCCACAGAGACCCCAGCGAGACCTGCAGAACATTACAGCAGAATGAAGGAGAGCCAGAGGAAGAGGCAGATGTGCTGGCCTGTAAACAGTCTGATTTCCAATGTAAACCAGATTCAGGCCCACGACATCAGGTAAACATCTGCATCAGAGCCCCCGGCCCCCCACCGCCCGGGAGGCCCCGGGGTCCACACGGCCGACTCTGGGACCCGTCACAGTGACCGCCGAGACATTTCGTAATTAGGCAAAATTGATCCTTGCATTCCTTCCCTAAATCCCAAATCTCTGCAATTTTACTTCTTCTCAAAAATGAAAACATTTGGCAATTAGCTGATCCAAGTGAAAAAGGTAGAGAATGTGCTCTCAACTGGAAAATGCCAATTAAGGAAGCAGCTCTGACTTCCCACCCGCCCTGGCTAAGCTGGGAGCTTATCTTCCCCGAGAAGAATCTGCTGGGATAAGGGGGCTTGGGAAACACCGAGGGCAGGGCTGCCTCCTCACCTCCTCAGCTTCCTCTGAGAGCAGATTAGCCGTGGCCTTGTGCCAGCAGGGCCTGGGTGCCACACCGGGTGGCAGCGGGTGGCAGAGCCGGGCCCCGCTCCGGCACTGGGATTTGGGGTGGCGGGACCCAGTGGGGCACCCGCTTGTGGGCAGCACTGAGGGCGGTGACGTAGGCAGCGGGTGCCGGTGTCTGCCCCTCCATCTGGCCGGGCTCCCCACCCTGCTCCTGCAGCCCTGGACCTCAGGGCCCATTTGCGGTGCAAGGCGGCTCTTGGTCGGTCTCCACTCCTAAACATTTATGCGTTGAAAATGCCCATTTGTTTGTTTTCTTGTGTTCCATTTATGTGTTCTGTATCCTTTTTTACTTAATTTAAATAATTTTTAAATGTGAAATCGTTAAGTAACCTCAGACGCTCAAACTTTCTGTTCTCCACTCACCGAGTCCATGAGTTCTGTCTCCTTCTTCCCGTGGTTTCTGTTTGCAACAATAACGGAATACCTGCATGTCTAATTTTTTTTTTATTCAAAAGGCAGCATACAATGTATATTCTCTTTATCAAGCTCGTGATTTCTTTTAAAGATTTTATTTTGAAATCATTACAGATTCACAGGAAGTCTCAAAACTAGTACAGAGATTTCCACATGCCCCTCAACCAGTTTTCCCAACGGCTTCGTCTCCCTTAGCTGGAGTGCGTGTCTAAGCCAGGAAGCTGACCGTGCTACAGTGTGTGTATCTGGGTTTTTGCCATGTTGTAGGATGTGGGAATTTGTGTACACACCACCAGGAACAGGACACAGAGCTGTCCCACTGCCACGGCCATCTCCGGGGCTGCCTCATCCCAGAGACTCACTGCCCATGTCCCCGTTCCTTCCTCCTCACACCCTCTGGCCTTTTCCTATGGCTATAAATTTGTCATTTTGCAAATGTGATGTAAATGGAATGCGTGGGACCCTTTCAGATGAGCTCTTCACTCAGGAACATGCCCTTGAGACCATCTAAGCTGCTTCCTGTGTCAACAGTTAGTTCCTTTTTACTGATAAGTAGCCTCCCCTGGTAGGAAAGGACCTCTTTGTTTACCATTCACCTACTGAAGCTTTTGACTATTACAAATAGCGCTGCCATGAGCAATCACGTATAGGTGTTTGTGTGAACATAAATCTTTCTTTCTCTGGGACAAATGCCCAGGAGTGTGACTGCTGGGTCAAATGGTCAGAGTCTGTTTCGCTTTTTTAAGAAACTGTCAAACTCTTTTCCATGGTGGGTGCGCCATGTTACATTCCACACGCAGTGAATGTCATACCGTTTCTCCGAATCTCTGCCAGCATTTGGTCTTGTTATTATATTTTGCGTTAGCTGTTCTAATAGGTACGGAGAAATATTGGGTCATGGTCCCAGCCTGTGTTTCCCTGGGGCCACGCGGGTTGAAGGCCGTTTTGTGACTTCATCTGCCATCTCCACCTTGTCTCCATGATCCTTCTTTCATTGGATTATTTGGCCCTGTTCCGTTGAGTTTTGAGAGTTCTTCTTATATTCTAGATACGAGTCCTTTGTCAGACATGGGTTTTGCAAACATTTTCTCCCAGCCCACAGCTTATCTTTTCATCCATCCTAACAGGATCTTTCACGGCATAAAAGTTTTTAATTTCAATGAGATCTAATTCATTGATTTAAAATATATATGAATCATGCTTTTGATGTTATATCTAGGAAGTCCTTGCCAAGCCCCAGGTCCTGGACACTTTCTTCTATTCTAAAAGTGTTATTGTTTTTGATCCAATTTGAGTTAATTTCCTTTATTTTTACTTTTTTTTTTTTTTTGGGGGGGGACGGAGTCTTACTCTGTCTCCCAGGCTGGAGTTCAGTGGCGTGATCTTGGCTCACTGCGACCTCCAACCCCCAGGTTTAAATGATTCTCATGTCTCAGCCTCCCAAGTAGCTGGGATTACAGGTGCCTGCCACCACGCCTGGATAATTTTTGTTTATTAATGTATTTATTTATTTCGAGACGAGTCTCTCTCTGTTGCCCAGACTGGAGTGCAGTGGCATGATCTTGGCTCACTGCAACCTCTGCCTCCTGGGTTCAAGCGATTCTCCTGCCTCAGCCTCCCAAGTAGCTGGGATTACAGGTGCCTGCCACCACGCCCAGCTAATTTTTGTATTTTTCATAGAGACAGGGTTTCACCATGTTGGCCAGGCTGGTTTCGAACTCCCGATCTCAAGTGATCTGCCAGCCTCGGCCTCCCAAAGTGCTGGGATTACAGGCATGAGCCACTGTGCCCAGCCCCAGTTTGAGTTAATTTTCATATGAACGTGTAGGTCTACGGCCATTTTTGAACCCATGAGTCTGCTCTAGCATGGCTTGTTGGGAAAGCGGCTCTTCTGGCATTGACGGCTCTTGGTCCCTTGTGGGAGGCCAGGTGGCCGTGATCCTGGGGGTCTGCACGCCCCTTTACCTCCACTCTCTCTCTTCCCTGGGGTGACACTCTCTTTTTCAATTTTCTATTTTTTTAATTTTAATTAATTTTTTTTTTTTTAATTTTAGAGATGAGGTCTCACTATGTAGCCCAGGCAGGTCTAGAACTCTAGCCTCAAGAGATCCTCCTTCCTCAGGCTCCCAAAGTGCTAGGATTACATGCATGAGCTGCTGTGCCCACACCCACGGTGACACTCTTGATTACGGGAGCTTTTGAGTAACTCTTAACATTGAGGGGCACGATTCTTCCTTTCTTCTTCTTTTATCATTTAGCTATTCTAGTTCCTTTGCCCCTTTGTACACATTTTAGAATCAATTTATCTAATAAAAAATATTTTTGATATTTTGGTGTGTTGATTAATATGTATTCCTGGTATTTTTGATAAAAAATCTATCTAGATCAATTTAGGAAAAACTAAATTAAAATATAAAAGCACTCAATGTAATTTACTACATTAATATATTTATTGAGAAAAACTATATAGATGACACTCAAAACTATTCCCTAAAACTTAGCCCCTCTGTGAATTTTAAAGTTTTTCTTTTTCTAAACATTATTCCATAAAAAGTGTGAGAATTAATATTCATACGTTTAGTCCATTTTTCTACTGAGCTGCTATTGATTTGTATAATCAATTTGGATATCAGAGATATTAATTTTTATTGTTATATTTGTAAGAAACATTTTCTCTGAATCTGTACTATGTCATTTTTTTACTGTGATTTTCAATAAAGAAGTGTTTCCTTTTGAAACAGTGAAATCTCCCAGACACTCCGTTAACAATGCTTGTGTTTCGCGCCATGCTTTAAGGCCCCCCCAATATCGGGAATACATTCCCCACATGTCCTTCCAGGAATTTTGTACTTTTATTTTTTTGTGTGCATTTGGATTCCTCGTGGATGTGCTCCAGCTGAGATGGGACTGCCTAGCTGGGTGGTTGCTCTGTGTCTCAGCTGAGACGGAGATGGGACTGCCTTGCTGCAGGTGCGTGGTTCTGTTGTTACGTCCTCTGCAGCAGGCCCTGTCTCTTCCTGCTGGCTCAGACACCCCGTCCACGGGGTCCTGAGTTACACTGAGAAGGCTGCCAGGGCCCGGCTCCACTTCCTCCTTCAATTTATGTAATCCAGAAGCAAGGCAGTGCTGTTTTAATAACTGTAGCTTTATAGTCTGTTCTGATAGCTGTCTGGGAAATCACCACTCATTCTTCTTCCTTTATATTTTGCTTTTAAATTTTTAATGGCTATAAAAATTTAAAAAAATTATAAAGACATCCCCCCAAAATTTAATGGCTACACTTGCCTATACATTTTGATGAGAATTTTAGAGAAAACTTGGCAAGATAAAAGTAATTATTTATTTTAATTGGAATATAATTAAATCCATAGGTTGATTTTTAGAGACCTGAAGTTGTAAGTGTTCTCAATCAAGAAGCCTGTTATATCTCTCCATTTATTTACATCTTATGGGTAGGAGGCTTTTTTTTTTTTTTTTTTTGAGATGGGGTTTCACTCTCATTGCCCAGGCTGGAGTGCAATGGTGTAATCTTGGCACATTGCAACCTCCGCCTCCTGGGTTCAAGTGATTCCCCTGCCTCAGCCTCCCAAGCAGTTGGGATTATAGGCATGAGCCACCATGCCGAGCTAAGTTTTTGTATTTTTAGTAGAGACTGGGTTTCGCCATGTTGGCCAGGGTGGTTTCGAACTCTTGACCTCAAGTGACCTGGCCTCCTCAGCCTCCCAAAGTACTGGGATTACAGGTGTGAGCCACTGTGCCCGGCTGCCCATAGAATTCTATAATTTTAAAATTATAAATGGGAAATGTTGTCATGTGGTATTTTCTCTACATAGTGTCTAGAAAATCCGTTGATTTATAATGTTGTATCTTTACTCAGCTTTTGTTCTAGTTGTTTCATTTCTTCCTTTTAAATATTTTGAACTGTATTTAGTTTTTAGTGTGTCCCAATGCTATCATTCAAAACAATGTTTAATAAGACAGGTAGTAGCTGCTTCTCCTAATGTTTCTATGTGACTTTTAATATCACTTCCCGAGGGATATTCTTCAGAAGTTAGATATTAATAGCTTTTCAAGTTTTTCTTTTTTTCTAACATAAACGAATGCTGAACCATAGCAAGCTTTCGAACTTTGTTGAACTTTACCAGCTTTTGCAGCTAATACTTGAGTAGTCATAGGTTTCATCCTTTGTGAATTTCCAGAATCACATAAATAGACCCACTGCTCTTCCTGCCTCGCTAGAATAAACCATACTTGAGCTCAGTGTCTGGCACATGGCAGTTGCTCAATAGATATCTGTTGCGTAAAATGAACGAAGGGGCAAGAACATGGAGAAAACCACCTCTGTGGTTCAGGCATGAAGGGCCTGCTGCAATGGAGCTGTAGGGGCACTGAGGAAACCCTCCCTGGGGCCGGGCGTGGTGGCTCACACCTGTAATCCCAGCACTTTGGGAGGCCAAGGCGGGCAGATCACGAGGTCAGGAGTTCGAAACCAGCCTGGCCAACGTGGCAAAACCCCATCTCTAATAAAAATACAAAAAAATTAGCCCAGCGTGGTGATACACGCCTGTAGTCCCACCTACTTGGGAGGCTGAGACAGGAGGATGGCATGAACCCGGGAGGTGGAGCTTGCAGTGAGCTGAGATCACGCCACTGCACTCCATCCTGGGCGACAGAACAAAACTCTGTCTCAAAAAAAGAAAAAAGAAAATCCTCCCTGGTCCCCAGCCCCAGGCTTCAGCACCAGGTAAGGGTGAGCTTGCCTAGGAGGCCTCGCAGTCTCTGACGCCCTGAGGTAATGGCGGCCACACCTCACCCTGACCCGGCCCACCCATGGCCCAGGCTGGCACAGATCCCACATTCATACCCAGAAGAAGGGGATCCAAAGCCATCTGGGGCATAAAGGCTACCTGCCTCCGTCTCTATTATTCTCTGGACACAGTGTCTGAAATTCAATTAAAATTTATGAGATAGCAAGGAAGGAAGGTAAAATGAACCATGGCCATGTGATAAAACAATTAATAGAATCCAACTTTGAGATGACTCCAATGTTGACACTGTTGCACAGGGACTTTAAAATAACTCACAGGCCAGGTGCGGTGACTCACTCCTGCAATCCCAGCACTCTGGGAGGCCGAGGTGAGCGGATCATGAGGTCAGGAGTTCGAGACCAGCCTGGCCAACAAGGTGAAACCCCATCTCTACTAAAAATACAAAAATTAGCTGGGCATGGTGGCAGGTGCCTGTGGTCCCAGTTACTCGGGAGGCTGAGGCAGGAGAATCGCTCGAACCCGGGAGGCAGAGCTTGCAGTGAGCTGAGATTACATCACTGTACTCCAGCCTGGGTGACAGAGCTAGACTCCATCTCAAAAAAACAAATAAATAAATAAAAATAACTGTGATGGGTATGTTTAGTCAATATGCATTAACAGGTGAGGAATTTCAACAGATAAATGAAAACTGAAAAAAACTAGAACACTGTTTTTATTTATTTATTTTTGAGATGGAGTCCCACACTGTTGCCCAGGCTGGAGTGCAGTGGTGTGATCTTGGCTCACTGCAACCTCTGCCTCCCATGTTCGAGTGATTCTCCTGCCTCAGACTCCCCAGTACTGGGATTACAGGCGTGTGCCACCATGCCCAACTATGTTTTGTATTTTTAGTAGAGACGGGGTTTCACCATGTTGGTCAGGCTGGTCTTGAACTCCTGACCTCAGGTGATCCACCCACCTTGGCCTCCCAAAGTGCTGGGATTATAGTCCCAGCTACTTTGGAGGCTGAGGCAGGAGGATCTCTTGAGCCCAGGAGTTAGAGGCTGCAGTGAGCTGTGATCGAACCACTGCACTCCTGCCTGGGCAACAGAGCGTGGCCCTGTCTCAAAAAAAACAAAAGTCAAATGGAAATAGCCTCTCCACCACCGCCCCCCCACCAACAATATCAACATTCTTATCATAGGCTAATTAACACACTGGAAAGAACTAAGGAAAGAATCCATAAACTGGGAGACAGGTGAGTAGAAGTCATCCAAAATGAACACAAAGAGAAAAAAGACAAAGAGAGAGAACTAAATCAAGCATCCAAGACCTTTAAAACACTTCAACACACTCTAGTGAATGTCCACTTATGATCCTAAGAGGAAAGAAGAAATCGTGGAAGAAAAGCTACTTGGAGAGATGGTGGCTGAGAGTCTCCCAAAGCTAGTCAAAGACAAAAAAAATCACATATTTGAGAATTTTGGAGAGCCCTAAGCAGAATAAACACAAACACTCCTGTTAGAACTAATAAAAAATCCAGCAAAGGTGCAGAGTGTAGTATCAATACACAAAAATCCACTGAATTTCTATACATTAGTAATAGACAATCTGAAAATGAAATTAAGAAAATTTTAAATAATAATAGAATAAAATACAGAAGCATATACGTAACCAAAGAAGTATAAGAGTTAAATGCTAAAACCCCCAAATCCTGCTGAGAGGAATTAAAGAAAACATGAGCAACTGGGGAGGCCGCCCGTGTTCATGGGCCAGAGGCACAATCACGTTAACATGGCAATTTGTAAATCCAATATAATCCCTGTCAAAATCCAGCAGGCATTTGTGCAAAATTTGACAAATTGATCCTAATATTTACAAATGAAAATGAAAGGAAAGCCACCGATTAGGATAAAATATTGACAAATCATATAACTGATAAAAGATTGTATCCAGAATAGAAAAAAGAGCTAAAAACTTCATGACAAAAATAACTTAAAGGACCCGGTATGGATAAAACAATTTTTTAAAAGAACAAAATTTAGTAACAAAGACAGTCTCGTATTGGTTTCACTGTAGCCACACAGATCAATGAAACAGGATCAAAAGTCCAGGAAAAAAAAAAAACGTTTTATGTAGATTGTCAATTGATTTTTGACAAAGGCAACAAACAGAACTCAGTCGGGGGACAGACAGTCTTTTCCACAAATAGTGCTGGGACATCTGGATAGCCACATGAGAAAGAAGTTTGGAACCCTATCTCATGTCCTCCACAAGAATTAACACAAAGAGGGTTACATGAAAACCGGGAACTAAAACTTGTAGAAAACATGGGAGAAAGTCAAGGAAGCTGTGGGCCAGGTGCAATTCCTTAGCCATGACATCAAAAATAAGATCGTAAAATAAAACATTGATAGGGTGAACTTCATCGAATTTTTTTCAAATGTGTGCTTCAAAAGACACTAACAAGAAATCGGAAGATAAGTCGCAGATCTGGAGGATGTATTTGCAAACCATATCACTGATGAAAGATTGAACCCAGAATGGAAAAGGAACTAAAAAATTAATGACAAAAACAGCTCCGTTAGAAACAGGCAAAACATCTGCGTAGACATCCAATTTCATAATTTGTGAGAAATGTATTTAGTACCGTACACCTCTCAGTAACAGCTGCTTCACTCTGCCCCGTCCTTCTAATGTGCAATGTTTTTATTACTTTTTAATAATTATGATTATCTCTTTAACCCCAAATTTATGGTAATAGACTATTTGGTTTCCAAACATACAATATTTGCACTATCCCTTTTGTGACTTAATTTCTAATTTTTTTTTTGCCCTGTGGTTGGAAAATATATTTCTGTATGTTGATCATTTGACTGTCAGAAAGCTGCATTGTGGCTTAATGTTTTAATCCTTTTGTAGCCTTCTTTCAGTCCACATACAATTGGCTTGCATTTTCCCTTCCTGTTATTGTCAACTATTCTGTGTCTCTCGCGGGTAACATCGTTTAACTCCATCCATACTCTTGTGTCTTTTAATTGGTAAGTTTAATTTATTCGTTCTTCTGATAACCTGTTGTATCAGGATTCAAAAGTCCTGCTGTCTTAAATCAGGTTTTCTGTTTTGCTGTAGTCCTTTTTCTTTCTTATTATTTTCATGACCATGTTCCCTTCCCAGGGCTGGTCATTTGAGGAGCTGCCAGATTAAGACCTTTGTTGTCCCAGGACAAGCTCCGTTGCAGAGGCCGCAGAGGCCACCAAGAAGAGGGCTCCGTGCGGAGAGTGCATCCTGATCCCCGGGACCAGGCCAGGTGCGAGGCGTGCCCTGGCTGAAACTCAGTGCCTTGGTATTTTTGGAACCTACTTGGGGAAGAAAAATCTGGAAACCCTGTCCTCCCAGTACTGAGCGTTTTCTGTCTCGGAAGAGGTGGTAGTTGCAGTTCACTTCGGAGCCGCCTGCTGTTTTCACTTTGGGGGACTCTGGAGTTTTAGTTGCACAAACAAGGAATTGCCTGCATGTTCCCTGGATGCAAATGTCTCAGGAGGGGAATGTGTGTGTGTGTGTGTGTGTCCTGTCGTACGTGGGTGCTCCCCCCTGCCCTCCTCTCAATCCTCATCAGTGCCTGACGAGCTCTGGGCAGCACACCGAGGGATCCAGGCTGGTGCCTTGGGGCTGAGACTCAGGAAGATCATGTCTCCTCCCTCCCACTGAGGTCTTTGCCCAGGACCTCACTTCCTAGACGAGGAGCAGCCTCTTTCCAGGACAACCCAGAGTGGAAAGGTCCTCCTTGGGACAATTACTCCAGAACTCAGGCGGTGGGTTTCACTCTGTCCAGGTGGCAGCTGCCTGTCCAGCTGATGAACACCCCACAGCGTGCAGAGGCCGTGCTATCCCGTGGCTGCTCTGCACACATGATTTCAGAAAATCCATAAAATTGATTAATCTTTCCCCTGTCTAATCACTAAAGAGAGAGACTGCACAAATTAGCAAGATTGGGAAAGAAGGAGATTCTATAAATATGTAAAAGGATGAAAGGGACTATTCAGAACATTCAGGTCAATAAATCTGACAACTCAGATGTGATGGATACATTTTTTTGAAAGACACGAATTATTAAAGTCACTAAAAAAATAGATAAACCAAAGAGCCCTGTATTTGTTAAGAAAATTAAACTTGTAGTTCAAAAACCTTCCGACAAAGGAAATGACAGGTCAAATTGTTTCACTGGTAAATTTCACCCAGCAGTCAACAAATAGAGAATCCTGACTCTGTACAACTTTTTCCAGGAAACCGAAGACCAGAGAACATTTCCTAACACATTCTACGAGGCTTATCCTGATACCAAAACCAAACAAAGATATCACAAGAGAACTACAGGCCAATACCCCTCATGAACATAGAGGCAAACATTTAGCAAACTGGATACAGTAATATGTACAATAATAATACATGATGACAACGTGGAGTTTATCCCAGTAACGCAAGATCAACTGAATATTTGAAAGATCAGTGCATTTCACCACATTCACAAGCTAAAAAAGAAAAGCCATATGATCATCTCCATAGACACAGAAAAAAATCTGATATCCGTTATGCATTTATAATAAAAACTCAAGCCAAATGAGAGCACAAGGGAATGTTCCCAGTCTGATAAAGGGGCGTCTCCGAAGCAGATGCAGCAGGCATCTTGCTTCCTAGCAGAAGATTGCCCGCTTTCCCCCAAGAGAAGGAACCAGCAGCAGTGCCTACTCAAAGCGTCTCTATTCTAGTTGGTGCAATGAGGCACGGAAAGGAAAACAAAACAAAACAAAACATAGATTGCAGAGGAAGAAGTAAGACAGGGTCATGGCCATCCCTGTAGAAAATCTAACAGAATCTTCTAGAAAGCTACTAGAACTAATGAGTGACTTAAGCAAAATAGTAGGCTATAAGATCAGTATACAAAATCAGTAGTCAGTAATAAAGGGATAATTAACCCCATTTAAAAAATGATAGACATGTCTCCAAAGAAGAGATACAAATGGCAAATAGCACAGGAAAAGGTGTGGCATGTCACTACTCATTAGGGAAGCACAAAACACACTCACAGTGAGGCATCATTCCACACTGTCTCTGGAACAGCGTCAGTGAGGCCGATAATCCGTGTTAGTGAGGACGTGGATAAGTTCGAACACTCCTATGTTGTTGGCGGGAACACAACATGATTTAATCGCCTTGGAGAACAGTTTGGCAGTTCCTCAAAATGTTAAACATAGATGTATCCTATGATTTAGCAATTCTACTCCACCCAAGAAAAATGAAAACGTGTCCACACAAAAACATGTGCACAAATGTCCACCATGGCATTGTTCTAATAGCCACATGGAGGGAGCAGCCCATGTGTCCCAGCACCAATAAATGGTTTCACAAAACGCAGACTAGCCACACAATGGGGTATTTCTCAGCTATAAAAAGAAATGAAGTTCTGGTCACCATGACGTGCATGAACCTTGAAACCTTGCGCTAAGTGAAAGAGGCCAGACACAGAAGGATGAACATAGCAGAACCCGATTTGTATTCAGCAGAGGCAAAGCCGCAGAGAGGGAGGAGAGATCAGTGGTGGCCAAGGCCAGCGGAGAAGCTCAGCGGGAGGAGTAGGGAGTGACTGCTGATGGGTATGGCTTCTTTGAGGTGATAAAAATGTTCTAGAATTACATTGTGATGGTGGTTAGAGCATGGTGACGGCTGGACAACTCTGCGAATATATGAAAAACCACCGAATTGTGTACTTGAAGTGGGTGAAGTGTGTGATATGAGTTTTATCTTCATGAGGCCACTAAAAATCAATTGCATTTCTGTATTACAGCAGAAATTGAACTCAAATGCCATTTAAAATTACAGAGAGAACATGAATCCTTACGAATAAATCTCACAAAAGATGTACGAGATATGCTAAGAGCACGGCTGGGAGAAAGTCAAGGTGAATGAAATAAATGGAGGTGCGCACCACGTTCACGGGTCAAACTCTTGATATTGACGGGATGCCACGTCTTCCCAAATGGGTTAATGAATTCAGTACCATTGCAATCAGAATCCCAGAAGCGCTTCTTTTCTCTTAAGAGAAATTCCCATGTTGATTATAAAAAATATAAGGACATGCAGAGGACCTAGAATAACCAAAAGAATCTTGAAAAAGAGAAAACAGTTGGAGGACCAAAGATCTGTGATTTCAAGACTCGCCGTGAGGCTACAGTCATGGAGACAGAAGGGGATTGGTGTCAAGAGAGACAAACGGGTCAGCAGAACAAAATATACAGTATGAGGAGGGGATTTTAAACGACGCAACCGCTTTGAAAAACAGTTTGGTGGGTTCTTAAACGGTGAGGTCCACGCTTTCCATATGACCAATTCTACACCTAGGTATTTAGCAAGAGAAATGAAAGCATTTGCCCACGAACGCTCACAGCAGCTATGGGCGAAGTCTCCCGGGTTTGCTTCTGGATAGGATGAAGGAACTTAGCAAGTCCTCTCTGTCTTTCTCTCTGTTTCTCTCTTTCTCTCTGTCTGCCTCTCTCGACAAGCCTAGCTTTCCAGCTGACTGTCTTGTTGCAAGATCCTATTTTGAATATTAAAAAATGAATGTCAGCTCTCTTATGATGATTAATTTTATGTGTCAATTTGGAAAGTGTATTTAGAGGACATTAACTTCATTTATTTATTTTTTTTGAGACGGAGTCTGGCTCTGTTCCCCAGGCTGGAGTGCAGTGGTGTGATCTCGGCTCACTGCAGCCTCCACCTCTACCTTCTGGGTTCAACCGATTCTCCTGCCTCAGCCTCCCGAGTAGCTGGTATCACAGGTGTGTGCCACCATGCCCGGCTAATTTTTTGTATTTTTAGTAGAGACGGGATTTCCCCATGTTGGCCAGGCTGGTCTCAAACTCCTGACCTCAGGTGACCCGCCTGCCTCGGCCTCCCAAAGTGTTGGGATTACAGGCATGAGCCACTGCGCCCAGCCTGAGGTTAACTTTTAAATGGATGAACTTTGGGTGAAGCATGTTGCCTTCTGTAATGTGGGTGGCCTCTTCCGATCAGTTAAAGTCTTGAATACAGCAGAAAGCCAGCCTTCCTGAGCAAGAGAGATTCTCCAGCGGACGGCCTTGGGACTTCATCCGCTCCACGGACTCTGCTGGGTCTGCAGCTGGCCAACCCACACTGCCTGCACTGCCCACACTGCCCACACTACCCACACTACCTACACTATCCACACTACCCACACCACCCACTCTATCCACACTACCCACACTACCCACACTGCCCACATTACCCACACTGCCCACACTATCCACACTACCCACACTATCCACACTACCCACACTGCCCGCACTGCCCACGTTACCCACACTGCCCACACTATCCACGCTACCCACAGTACCCACACCACCCACACTATCCACACTACCCACACTACCCACACTATCCACACTACCCACACTACCCACACTGCCCATGTTACCCACACTACCCACACCATCCACACTGCCCACACCACCCACACTACCCACACTGCCCACACTATCCACACTACCCACACTGCCCACACTACCCACACTATCCACACTACCCACACTACCCACACTATCCACACTACCCACACTACCCACACTACCCACACTATCCACACTATCCACACTACCCACACTGCCCACACTACCCACACTGCCCACACTACCCACACTATCCACATTACCCACACTACCCACACTGCCCACACTACCCACACTGCCCACACTACCCACACTGCCCACACTACCCACACTGCCCACACTGCAGATGCTGGACTTGCAGCCTCCATTACCCCATGAGTCCCCGCCTTATAATAAATCTCCTTCTCACTTTATGCACCCCCCTACCCCCAGTTCTGTTTCTCTGGAGACCCCGACTCAGCTACTGTGATCCCAGGGAAAGGGAGCCTCAGAGAAAGGAACCCTGTGTCCACCGGGCTTTCTCTCCAGGGATTTGCTGACACCTCCACTGTGCATGGCTGGGGTGAGAAGCCAGGCAGAAAACAGCTGCTTCGAGGCCAGAATTACAGGTAAAGAGTTCAGCATCCTCCCCTTTGTGGGGGAACTGTGGAGCACGAGGCCTTCCAACGAGAGGCCCTGGCGTCAGCACAGACCACGAGAGGGCTGGGCTCAGGATCAGCGCCACTGAAGGACCCTGCCTGCATGGAGGCGCGTGATCCAATGTTCTTTCCTTGCTGGCAGCAGAAAATGTTACTGGCTCCGAAGGAAGATGACAACATCCTGCCTCTTTGCTGAAGTACGTGCACAGCATCCAATGCACCCAGGACCTCTCAGGGCGCCAGACCCTGGCTCTGTGCTTCGGTTGCGTGACTCGGGCAAGCTTCTCATTTCTCCCGCCTTAGTCTCCTCTCACCTCACAGGGCTGTCATGAGGCATGCTGGGCACATGCAGCTCACAGAGAAGGGCTGGCTTCCTCCTTGCACCCTCGCTTCCCTCCTTCCTCTCTCCAGCAGGCAGGCTGATTGTGGAGATGTCTCCTGGGCAGCATGCGTCAGCAGGGATTTCATGGGGACGGTGAGAATTAGCATCCACTCTTGCGGGCGTCAAGTCACTGAAGGACAAATCCCCGGAGGCAGAGGAGGCTGTCACCCTTTCCCCAGGACTCCACATCTGTGGCTGCTGGTCCCCCAAAACCCTGAGAGTTAATAATCCATGCCTGACCTAGGGCAATGGAACGAGGTCTTATCAGGAAAAGCAGGCAGGTCCTCTGCCTTCCTAAAAATTAATGTTTTATCATCAGACTATGAACATGATAATTTTTAAATCTCGATGCTGGAGATCACAGGAAAACATTCTCTCAGGGGCAACATGGAAATCGCTGCTTTGCACAGGGTGACCCAGCCCACACTGTCAATCTGGTGAACTCCCTCACTCTACAAAGCCCACCTCAAATCCCCCCTGCTCTCTGCACAGAAAGCCGCAAATTGTTTCCTGCAATAAAGAGCCTGACTCCGTTTTTATGATGTTTGACGGCTCACTGCTTTGACACCTCACCCATCCCTCTTCCCGTGTGCCCCACAGCAGGGCAGGTGTCTTTGGTGCCAGTGAGAGGCTCAAGCCCTGCAGGCTCCTGCCCATGTGAGGCCATCACCCCACCCCCGAGGCATAAGAAGAGCCCCACGCCAGCTCCCTTCCTGAAGCCACCGTGCACCCCGTGAAAGCCCAGCTAGGTAAGTACCAGACCCTTTCATCTCGTCCCGGTGTGTGGGGGCGTCTTCAGGGTTGACGGAGGAACCACATTTGGGTGGGGTCCCTCCTCTTTTTCCAGAGTGACCACAGCACTCCACTATTTCTTCTTTTCTTTCTTATTTATTTATTTATTTATTTATTTTTTTGAGATGGAGTCTCAGTCTGTTGCCCAGGCTGGAGTTCAGTGGTGCTATCTCTACTCACTGCAGCCTCTGCCTCCTGGGCTCAAGTGATCCTCCCACGTCAGCCTCCCGAGTAGCTGGGACTACAGGCACACGCCACCACACCCGGCTAATTTCTGTGTTTTCAGTAGAGATGGGGTTTCACCATGTTGCCCAGGCTGGTCTCGAACTCCTGACCTCAAGTGATCCATCCGCCTCGGCCTCCCAAAGTGCTGGGATTACAGGCGTGAGCCGCCGCGCCCGGCCAGCACTCTCCAATTTCTGATCCAACTGCATTGTCATACAGAAATCACACCTTGATCGTGTTTACAGACTCATTTCTACGCATAGATACATGTCTCTGATTCCATGCACTGCAACGGTCATTGCATTTAAAAAAGAGGCAAACGCCAAGTCTCCCAGCGCCTTGGAAGACTCAGCCTCTGGGGGCTCCATGGTTTCTGCTTGAAAGGCCGATGGCTGCTTTGCAGAGAACCAGTCCTGAGACTCATACCTTTCTATTCCGATGAGAGAACATTTCTGCACAAGAACCTAGGTCAGGGTTCATGTGTCTGTCCCTTGCGTTCTGCAAAGGACCGGATCATAAATGGTGCAGCTCTGGGGGCCACCCGGGCCCTATGGAAGGAACTTGTCCCTGCCGTCGTGGGGGATGCAGCTGCACATGGCCTGTGGACGTGCTCCAGGAAGGCGCCTGCGGGGGTGGCTGTGAACTCCCGCTGTCCCCAGCACATTCCCTGTTGACACATCCTGGCTGGGAGATGTCTCCACAATCAGCCTGCGTGCTCCGAAGTGAGGGGGAGAGGGGAAGGAGGGAGGTGAGGGGGCAAGGAGGAAGCCATCACTTCTCTATGAGCTGCGTGTGCCCAGCAGGCCTTGTGACAGCGCTGTGAGGTCGTGCACGTGAGAAGAGACTGAGGCGGGAGAAATGAGAAATAAAAACTGAACATGAGTTCAATTCATCTTGCGTTTCCTTCAGGACAAAATGTGAATTTCATGTCAGTAGTTTGTGCAACCAAGTCCTCTTTGTCCTGTGACTTTTATTCAGGCACTGAACAGTGTAAACTGATTCACACCTTCTGGGCTGCACCACCACAGGGGCCAGCAGGCCTGGGTCCCCCCACCCACCTGGAGTGAGGGGTGCAGTTAGGCCGGCCGGGCATGGTCCCTGCAATCAAGTCTCTAGAGCGGGGGTGACGGCCACGGGGCCTGAAAAGCGGTTCCATAGTGTCTGCAGCTTCTGAGCACTGAGGGATGAGCCCACACACGCATCACAAAACAGCCACAGTGACCTGACCCACACTGTCCAGACGATGGGGCCACATAGGATTCCCACAGTGGGAGATGCTGACCTGGACAAGAGAGGGCAAGGGACAGAAGCTCCCAAGACCCAAGGTAGGGCCCTGCGGGCAAAATGGCCAAGAGCCGCCTTGCACCGCAAATGGGCCCTGAGGTCCAGGGCTGCAGGAGCAGGGTGGGGAGCCCGGCCAGATGGAGGGGCAGACACCGGCACCCGCTGCCTACGTCACCGCCCTCAGTGCCGCCCACAAGCGGGTGCCCCACTGGGTCCCGCCACCCCAAATCCCAGTACCAGAGCCGGGCCCGGCTCTGCCACCCCTGCCACCCTGTGTGGCACCCAGGCCCTGCTGGCACAAGGCCACGGCTAATCTGCTCTCAGAGGAAGCTGAGGAGGCAGCCCTGCCCTCGGTGTTTCCCAAGCCCCCTTATCCCAGCAGATTCTTCTCGGGGAAGATAAGCTCCCAGCTTAGCCAGGGCGGGTGGGAAGTCAGAGCTGCTTCCTTAATTGGCATTTTCCAGTTGAGAGCACATTCTCTACCTTTTTCACTTGGATCAGCTAATTGCCAAATGTTTTCATTTTTGAGAAGAAGTAAAATTGCAGAGATTTGGGATTTAGGGAAGGAATGCAAGGATCAATTTTGCCTAATTACGAAATGTCTCGGCGGTCACTGTGACGGGTCCCAGAGTCGGCCGTGTGGACCCCGGGGCCTCCCGGGCGGTGGGGGGCCGGGGGCTCTGATGCAGATGTTTACCTGATGTCGTGGGCCTGAATCTGGTTTACATTGGAAATCAGACTGTTTACAGGCCAGCACATCTGCCTCTTCCTCTGGCTCTCCTTCATTCTGCTGTAATGTTCTGCAGGTCTCGCTGGGGTCTCTGTGGGAATATCTGTGACACGGAGTGAGCCAGGCCAGCCCGGGGCGGCCCCATCCGGGGACAGCAGCTCACGGCCTGGCCCCGCGTGCGCAGCCGGGGCCTGGGTTGGCGGTGGAGATGGGGAGGGTCTGGGGCCCCTGGGTGGGTGGTGGGGGTACCGTCAGCCCGGCTGCAGGGTTCCAGCGGAGGACAGGGAGCCTTCTCCATCCCTGAAAACCATCGCGGGGACAGTGGACTCATCAGGATGCCGGGACCCTCTAGTGTGTTCTGGAAGCAGAGGCTGGGTGTGGGCACGGGAACCTGTGATTGTCCCCAGACACCGAGAGGTCCACAGGACCCCCAGTGCCCAGACCCCGGCTGCAGATCGGGGGGTCCAGTCATGTGTCGGGGAAGGAGGAGAGGAGCAGGGGCCACAGACAGGGGGTCCAGGAGGGCAGGGGGTCCTGGAGGGCAGGGGGTCTAGGAGGGCAGAGGGTCCAGGAGGACAGGGGGTCCAGGAGGGCAGGGGGTCCAGGAGGGCAGAGCCACAGCAGGCTGGGTGCTGCTGCTACAGGGGGCTTCACCCCAGCAGCCCCCTGCACTGCCCCTCTGACAGCCTCCACCTTTGACCCCCCAGAACAACGGGCTGCTGTGGCGGCTCTGGAGGCTGCGGCCCCAGTCATGGGGCCTGCGGCTGCCATGGGCTGAGACCCTGCTGCTCTTCGTGGAGACACTGATGTCCTTACCAGATCTCCCGGGCCCGCCCTCAGCCTCCAGGCTGACCAGGCTTCCTGGGCCTCCTAGGACACAGCCCTGGGTCTCCTCCTCTAGGATACTGGATGGGAATCTGCGGCTTCCAACATCCACCTGCCGGCCTTTCCCTCTGCCCTGTCCCCTTGCTGCCATGGCCGCCTTTGTCCTCCCTGGAGATTCAGAGAGCAGCCCCGTTCTCAGTTACCTGGCCTTCTGGGTCCTTGGGAGGTTCTGACCTCTTCCCAGCAGGGGCCCTGGGGGCTGCGTCCTGCCTGGTCCAGGCCTTCTCACCCTCACCTCCCTCTGGGCTCAGGGAGCTGGGGCCACACAGCCCAAAGAGGCTGGTCTGCCCGGGACAGGCCACCCTCCTCCTACCAGTGCCCTCCCTCCTCCGGCAGCCACGCTACCTGCCCTTCCTCCCCACCTGCAAAGCCTCCTGCCAAGCCTGACACCTGGGGATTCTGTCTCCCACACTCCAGGGGCCTCCTCCACATGTCAGTGACCTCTGACCGCTGTTTCAGACCCACAGCTCTTGGGTGCACTCAGCCTTGGGTCCCGATGGCACCAGAGTGTTCCACGCCTGGGGCAGCACACTCACTGCAGATCTGGCCTGAGACTCAGCAGCCGGGCACCCCATGAGATCTACTTTCTGAATGGCGTCGTCACCTGACTGGGCATACAGGCCACGGACCCCATGGTCATTTGGGCACTGACCCCTCTCACACCCCCCAAATCCCACCTGAGAGCAGCCCATCAGGCAGGCCCCATATATTGGATGCCTCTAAGTATCAGCCTTGATGTCCCTCTAATTCCAGCCCTGGTGTCTTCTCCCTGGGACACCCTGCTGCTCCCTCTAGCTGTGCCCTCCACGGTGACTCCAGACATGCGGATTCAGCCTCTTCGCTCCAGGACCAAACTCCTCAGCAGCTCCCACTACTCCCAGCATGCCATCCAGCTCCTCAGCCCAGCAGCAAAGACAGGCACAGAATGGCTCCCGAACCCATCGCTCCGGTCTGGAGAAGGAGCCCTCCACCCTCCACGCTCCATTCGCTGTCCCCTTGCGGGCCCCTGTGAGGAACCCCGGCCAGAGGCACCAATGGCCGCCACTGACTTTCACCCTGTCTTGAATCACAGGACCAAGGAGGCTGCCCCGACAAGGGTCGCTTCCAGACTCACTCCCTGTCAGCCACTGCCACATGCCTGCCGTGGGCAGCATTGGAGGACAGGGGGTACTCTGTCAGTCAGCCTAACAGGCTGGTCCGTCCTTCCTTCCTTCTTCCCTCCCTCCATCCCTCTCTCCCTTCCTCCCTCCCTCACTTCCTTCCTTCTTCCCTCCCTGCCTCCTCCCTCCTCCCTCCCCCTTCCCTTCCTTCCTTCCTTCTCTGCTACCTCCCTCCCTCCTCCCTCCCCCCTCCCTTCCTTCCTTCCTCTCTGGTCAAATGCGGGTACATGAGAGTTCCCACCATCCCCATGGTAAGTGCACAGTTCCGTGGCATTGGGAACCTGCACGTGGCTGTGCCACTGTCGCCACCATGCAGCTCCAGCACCTTTTCATCGCGCGAAACTGGAGCTCCGTCCTGACTAATCACTCACTCCCATCGGCCTCTGTCACTGGCCCTGCTGACTGCCATTCTGCCATCTTCCTCTTGAATCTGACTCCTCTGGGGGCCTTCCATCTGTGGGGTCACAGCATTGGTCCTATTGTGACTGGCTGGCTTCACTCGGCACGAGGCTGTGAAGGTTGGTGGCGTTGCTGCAGGCGTCAGAGCACACTCCTTTTCCAGGCTCCGTAAGACCCCGATGTGTTTGTCTACCCCATTTCAGATCCCCTCACCTGCTGGGTTGTTTCCACCTTTGGGCTATTGTGACTGCACGGCTGTGAGCATGGGTGTCTGAGTCCATTCTGTGTAGCCATAAAAGAACCTCTGTGATGGGGTAATTCATCAAGCTCACAGTTCTGCTGGCTGAGAAGTTCAATGGCATGGCCCTGGCTTCTGCTGGAGGAGGTCAAAGGGGAAGCAGACACGGGAAGAGAGATAAAGCTCAGGGATGTCTTGGCTTCAGAACAAGCCCCACTCATGGGAACAAATCCATTCCCATGGGAACTCACCCTGTATCACAAGAGGAGAATCACTCCCAGCACCACGGACTCCCCAGGGAGTCACTCCCACGACCCACACGTCTCCCTCCCCTCAGGCCCCACCTCCCTACGCTGCCACACTGGGGGTCCCGTTTCAACAAGAGTTTTGCTGGGAACAGATGCACTGACTACATCCAGGTCGTGGCAAGGGCTGTGCAAGTATTTGAGTCCCTGCTTTGATTTCTTTTGGGGATAGACCTAGGAATGGAATGGCGGCTTCGCAGGGTAATTTTGTGTTTACCTGTTTCTGGAAGGAGCACACTGAGCTGGCCAGAGCAGGCTTGTGTTTTCCTCTGTGCTCCTTCCTGCTTCCCAGGATGCAGATGAGATGGCAGGTGCCCCAGCAGCCCTCGCCAACCATAAGGCATGGATTCCTCACCTTCGGCTCGGGGAGCACAGAGACTGAGGGCCGTGGACTCGGGGTGAGATGGTGGCGCCTCCATCACAGACCCACAGACTCTGTGTCCAGCCCTTCCGGAAAGGTGACAGAAATGAAAAGTCTGCCTTATGGAAGACAAGGTTATTCAGAATTTTCGGTTCTGTATGGTCTCCTTAGAAACATTAGTAGACTTTAAAAAATGAAAATAGCCCATGTTCATTGTGAAAAAGTGAGCCGTGGCCTCCGGGGCACTGGAGCCACAGAGCCACCACGCTTTGCTTTGTTTCTCACTCCCCTACTCTCCCCACATAGGCACAGACGCTTTCCCTGACAGCATCATCATCACCCAACTAGGGCAGCTGACCCGCGTCTTCCTCACGACGTGGAAAGTTTTGAGTCAAGGGTTTTCATGGCCATGAGCCACGTGGAGGCTGTGCCTTTTGTTTCCTGTGAGAAATCTTCAACCAGCGCCACTCTCAGCCTCCCCTCTGCCAGCGCTTCTGTGGCTGCACCTGCATTCGTGGGCTGTGGCTGCGAAGCACAGGAATAATTGATGGCTCGTGGGGCACTTTGCTGGGCTGCTTCCAGAAAAGTTGACCCCTCCCTGCAAACCAGCACTGCCCAGCATTCTTGTCCCGCCAAGACTGACTGCGAGCTGTTGTGGCGTTGCCACTTTGCTTGGAAAGGACCCCTTATCTTTCATTTCCCTTGCATTTCTTTCAATTCTACCATTGACCATTTCTCATACGTGTGGTCATCATTGTATTTCGCCCCCATTTTGTGAGGTTTAGTGTATTCTTAAAGTTTCCTGGGTTTTGATGAGAGCATATTCTGTCATTATATTTAACAGGTGTTTTCCCCAGCTTGGATGTGTTTGGCCATTAGCTTCTTTTCTGCTATTTTACACTAGTCTGTTATTCTTCACTACAAAAGGACTCTGCCAAGGGTCCCCATGCTCCCCATGCTTCGGGGTGTGAGGTAGCAGGGGAAGGCAGGTGTCCTTCCTTCTTTGAAGTGTGGGTTGGGGCAGGACAGCAGACCCTGGGGTCACTGCTGAGGAGGGGAAGGATGGGATTAGGACTGTTCTCTTCCTGGCCTCACGAGCTCCCCCAGCTCCTTCTTGTGGTTGGAGAAGAAACCTCCTGATTGTCACGGAGAGTGAGTTTGTCCGTGGAGCTTTTCCTGCACAGCTCACATAGAACGGGCTGTGAGGTCCCTCCACTGAGCAGCACGTGCCAGGCCGGGTGCCCACGACTGTTGGGAAAACCCAGGCCTGTGTTCCAGGAAGCAAAGGTCTTTAGATGAAGGTTTTAAGAATGAAAATTAACCCACAGAATGGTGAGGTCAGTTGGAGCCTGGATTCCATGGGGTAAGGCAGCCACAGCCAGGTGGGCAACCCCTTGGCATGCAGCAACAGCCCGGGGCCAGGTGTGGGCGAGGCTTGGGATTTCCTGGCACAGCTGACTTCATGTTGTGGCCTGGCAGCCTCGGGTGGTGTCGGCAGATGCAGGAAGCCACGGGCGCAGCACCCTGCCTGTCCTGGCCGTGGGTGCTAATGCAGAGTGGGTTCTGTGGCTGGTCACACAGGCAGCCGGGTGGGTGCAGGTCATCCCGGGGATGGCCTTGCACTGTCTGATCCCCGGGGAGGGGAGGGTCTTTTCGCTGACCACGCTGTTTGCTGCGTGCTTTTTGTTTGCCAAGGGCTGCAATGTTTGTCGTCTGCTGCAGTGTTTGCTGCCGGGTGAAGAATCGCTGGCCCTGTGTTGTCACACCTGGGCCCACCGTGACAAGGTCCCCACCTCTGTTGTGGGACTCGGGGGCAAAGTTCCCTGCTGTTCACGCTGCAAGTGACAAGGGCCCTGGTCTCTGAACCAGGAGCCTCTGAGTCCTGCCCCACAGGGCTGAGCCCTGGCTGGGAGCAATGTTCTTTGGGGGAGACAGCAGCTTCCTCACTTCCATGTACAGCCAGATGCCACGGGATGTGGGGAGTGCGACAGGGCTGTAGGGAGTGGGACAGGGCCGTGGGGAGTGTGACAGGGCCGTGGGGAGTGTGACAGGGCCTTGGGGAGTTTGACAGGGCCGTGGGGAGTGGGACAGGGCCGTGGGGAGTGTGACAGGGCCGTGGGGAGTGTGACAGGGCCGTGGGGAGTGGGACAGGGCCGTGGAGAGTGGGACAGGGCCGTGGGGAGTATGACAGGGCCGTGGGGAGTGGGACAGGGCCGTGGGGAGTGGGACAGGGCCGTGGGGAGTGGGACAGGGCCGTGGGGAGTGGGACAGGGCCGTGGGGAGTGTGACAGGGCCGTGGGGAGTGGGACAGGGCCGTGGGGAGTGTGACAGGGCCGTGGGGAGTGGGACAGGGCCGTGGGGAGTGGGACAGGGCCGTGGGGAGTGTGACAGGGCCGTGGGGAGTGGGACAGGGCCGTGGGGAGTGCGACAGGGCTGTGGGGAGTGCAACAGGGCAGTGGAGAGTTTGACAGGGCCGTGGGGAGTATGACAGGGCCGTGGGGAGTTTGACAGGGCCGTGGGGAGTATGACAGGGCCGTGGGGAGTGGGACAGGGCCGTGGAGAGTGGGACAGGGCCATGGGGAGTATGTTTATTGGTACCCATGAGACAGTCATAGACTGACATTCAGCTTCTAAGCAGGGTAGGGTCTCCAGCCTGACACACGTCTTCGTGGTCACCCAAGCCCCCGAAGGCAGTGTTCTGTGCTCATCATCCCTCTGCGCCTGTGGTGACCCGCACAGCTCACCCCGTCCAGCTTAACGCCCTCTCTCCTCTCACCTGCTGCCCCTACCCTCCCGGCTGTCCCCTGTGTAGGCTTCGCAGCTTCTCCGCGTCCATCAGCTCTGAGGCTCCTGGAGGCCTTCTCTCTTCTCCTTCTCCCCCTCCTCCTCTCCTTCCCCTCTCCCAATCTCCCGCTCTCCCAGTCTCTTTACACAACATCTGTGCACCAGAAATTTTAAATATGATCCTGCAGTCCCTAACTGTGCCCAAGGGGCAGTCTCATCATGGGCTGTGTTCTGCACACCTCCTGGCCGTGTCACAGGCGTCTGATCTCGGCATACGTATGATGCACCTTCTGATTCGACCCACAGCCTTTACCCTTCTGATTGCTGGTGCCACGCCCCATTGTGAGAAGTCAGGAGTCACATCAGAAACTTGCTTTTCCTCAGCGGCACCTCCTGCTCGTGACGGGCCCTGTTCCTTTCCCCTCAGAGACGTACCTGGGATCCATCCTGGCCTCTCAGTCAGGGCCGACTTCCCCACCCCAGTGTTTGCTACCATGATTGTGACCTGTTCTAAGCTGAGTTTCTGCAGCTTTGCCGGTCACATGCATTCTTTCCTCCCCAAGACAACCCCTCATCACACAGCAGAGACAGTGGTCACTGAGAACATGGTCTGCCTCCCATCTCTCCCCTTTGTGGGCACCTCAGTGGCCTCCTGCTGCGCTCCGAACAAAAGCAAGAGACCCTGCTGAACCTGGGATGGGTTGGTAGAAGATGGGCTCCCCACGGGACCCGGGCGGGGGACAGCCCCCTCAGCCTCACGGCTTCCCAGACAGAGCGAAGGTGTCCTTCCAGTCTCTCCACATGTCATCTTAAATAAAGTTAGTTAATTCCATGCCTGTGGTTCTGAACCTCCTTTGTCTAATTGCTTCTGGTAATTCCATCCTCCAGCCGCCGCGGCAGGGGAACATTAAGTGGGGCTACCAGGTTTTGTGGGTGTTGTTTTTGTCCTGGGTGCCAGTCCGCGCATGAACAATGTCCTTATCTGATGGGAAGGGGCTGCTGCAGCCACAAGCACAGGCCCCCGCCCCGCAGACAACGCGGCTTCCTTTTCCTGACTACACTCGACCGGAACACACCAAACACCAGACACCTGCTCTCCGTTTGTGAAATGCTCAGCTCTTCTTTTCTATTTCTTTAATTTATGTTTTTTGGGTTTTTGTGGTTGTTGTTGTTTTTGAGACGGAGTCTCGCTCTGTCGCCCAGGCTGGAGTGCAGTGGCGCGATCTCGGCTCACTGCAAGCTCCACCTCCCGGGTTCACACCATCCTCCTGCTTCAGCCTCCTGAGTTGCTGGGAATACAGGCGCCCGCCACCACGCCCGGCTAATTTTTTGTATTTTTAGTAGAGACAGCGTTTCACTGTGTTCTCCAGGATGGTCTCAATCTCCCAACCTTGTGATCCACACACCTCGGCCTCCCAAAGTGCTGGGATTACAGGTGTGAGCCACCGAGTCTGGCCTAATTTATGTTTTTATCTTTACCAACTTCTTTCTTTAAAAAAAGTATGGTTAGAAATTTTGGTTTTCATTTTTCTAGACATTATTTTTACCTAAAAGAAAGGCCCACAATAGGCATGCATCTTTTTCAACTTTATTTATTTTATTTTCTTCAATGGATTACTTCCTTTAATTATAAAAGGAATACCCGACCATTCTTACTGGGTAAACAATAGGGGGTACAAAAATTAAAAGCGAAAAACTTCCCCCAACCCCTTCTCGTCCTGATCCTTCCGCTGTCAGTGTGAACACCTCTTAGTGTCTGTTTCACCCACTGTCTGTGCTCATGCTCATAAACCTGCAGATTTCTTTCTTATTTTTTTTTCTTTTTTTTTTGAGGCGGAGTCTTGCTCTGTCACCCAGGCTGGAGTGCAGTGGCACGATCTCAGCTCACTGCAACCTCCGCCTCCCGGGTTCACGCCATTCTCCTGCCTCAGCCTCCCGAGTAGCTGGGACTACAGGTGCCCGCCACCACACCTGGCTAATTTTTTGGATTTTTAGTAGAGACGGGGTTTCACCGTATTAGCCAGGATGGTCTCGATCTCCTGACCTCGTGATCCGCCCACCTCGGCCTCCCAAAGTGCTGGGATTACAGGCTTGAGCCACCGCGCCCAGCCTAACATGGGACGGTTGTAACATCAATATGTATATGCACCTCCTTTTTTCCATCAGCTTCCACGGTTACGTTGGATCGTCGTGAATTCGGCGGTCACCTGTTGATGGAGATCTCAGCATTTCACGTCGTGTGTTTGGCATCGTTTTGTTGTTTCTGTGACACTGAAGGCAGTGCCAGTGCCCTTGTTCATGCACCTTGTGGTGACAGGGCGCAATTCAGACTAAGGCCCAAAACAAGATGGAAGAGCCACAGGGTATTTACATTCTGAACTTAAAAGATGAAGACAAAATCTTTGTAGAAATATGGGCTGGGTGCCGTGACTGATGCCTGGAATCCCAGCACTTTGGGAGGCCGAGGTGGGTGGATCACGAGGTCGGGAGTTCGAGACCAGCCTGGCCAACATGATGAACTCTTGTCTCCACTAAAAATGCAAAAATTAGCCAGGCATGGTGGCGGGCGCCTGTAATCCCAGCTACTTCGGAGGCTGGGACAGGAGAATTGCTTGAACCCGGGAGGTGGAGGCTGCAGTGAGCCGAGATGGCACCACCGCACTCTAGCCTGGGCAACACAGTGAGACTCCGTCTCAAAAAAAAGAAAAGAAATATGGGCAAATAATACACACAGGAAACTTATATCTTACAGGAAACACTCATGGCCAATGTGCATGCAAGAAAGTTAGCAGCCATCACACAAATGCAAAGAAAAACAAAAATGAGGGGCAGTTTCTTCAGGGCTGGTGAGGGGCGGGGAAGGGCGCCACCAGTCACAGCCGCTAGGGCGACCCACTCACTCCCGGAGACTGCCTTTTTAAAATGATTCTTAGCATTGAAAGCCCTGCATCCCTGGAAATCTCTCATACTTGGGCAGACCGGGCCACTCAAGTGGCTGAGGAACATTCAAACCTTTCTGTTTTGTTTTGAGATGGAGTCTCGCTCTGTCGCCCAGGCTGGATTACAGTGGTGCAATCTCGGCTCACTGCAACCTCCATCTCCTGGGTTCAAGCGATTCTCCTGCCTCAGCCTCCCAAGAAGCTGGGAGTACAGGCATGAGCCATCACACCCGGCTAATTTTGTTTTTGTTTTTTTTTTGTTTTTTTTGGGGGGGGTCTTTAGTAGAAACGGAGTTTCACTATATTGGCCAGGCTGGTCTTGAACTCCTGATCTCAAGTGATTTGCCTGCCTCAGCCTCTCAAGCGCTGGGATTACAGGTGTGAGCCACTGTTCCCGGCCCTATTCAAACCTTTCTCAAGGCATATGTCAGCAACAAGCCCAGACCCCAGCAGCACTCACCTCACCAGCAGGACACCCCACTCAGGCAGGCTGCAATTTTCTTCCTTTCTTTCCTTTCTTTTTTCTTTCTTTCTTTCTTTCCTTCTTTTCTTTTTTTTTTTTTTTTTGAGATGGAGTCTCGCTCTGTCACCCAGGCTGGAGTGCAGTGGCACCATCTCGGCTCACTGCAACCTCCTCCTCCCGGGTTCAAGTGATTCTCCTGCCTCAGCCTCCCAAGCAGTTGGGACTACAGACAATTGCCACCATGGCCAGATAATTTTGTGTTTCTGATAGAGATGGGGTTTCACCATGTTGGCCAGGCTGGTCTCTAACTCCTGACTTCAGGTGATCTGCCCACCTCAACCTCCCAAAGTGCTGGGATTCCATATGTGAGCCACCATGCCCGGCCAGGCTGCAATTTCCCTACATGGCCTGTGTTATTCTGTGATCCTCCTGCGGTGGCTAGAACCAAAATAAATGATGGGGGTGACGGGGACCACGTTAGTTCTCATTCGAATGACAGTGGTTTGCATTTCATATGTTAAGGTCGTGTTCACCACTGGCTCCTGAGAAGCACGATTCCTCATGTTTGAGCAGTTTCCTCCCATCTCTCTTTGGCTTTGGGTTTTGCCATGAGTGGCTTTGGAGTTTTGTCAAGGGCATCTTGGGCACCTATAGAGAAGGTTTGCTATTTTATTTGGTTTTCTGGCAGCTGATCATCTTTCCGGCTAGCACCCTTGTTTCTTTGGGGGAAAACACTTCATGTGTATAGTTTTTGTTACATGAGTATTTTCCTTCCACCACTAAAGGCGAAGAAGCACAGTCCCCCGGCCCCCAGCAGCAGAAGGCAGGTGAGCACGGCAGCCAGCCCCACTTGACAGCCAGCCCTGCTCAGCGTCCCGGATGTGCAGGAGACTGGGACCCTGAACAAGGCTGCTGCCAGGGCAGCATCTGAGTGGGTGCCAGGCATGCTCCTGGCTTCCCCAGACAGCTGTGGTCTTTTACTGGTATAACTCTGCCTAAATCATCCAGGGCCTGTGGACGCTGACCCATGGGGTTGAAGGACACTGCGGCCCCCTCCCAGTCAGAGTGGAAGTGTGTGGAGAGCAGACGACTGCCTGGATTTCAATGCAAACCGCTCAGGGCAGAACTTGCATGGACTCTACAGCTGGCCTGCAGCTGTCCCCTCGGGCACTGGACAAAGTGTCTGCACGAATGTCCTCAGTGACCACAAACCTCTGTGTTGGCTGCATGGACCCACAGCTAGAAGCGGCGAGGTGGGTCCTGCAGCTGTCAGTCCATCCCCGACAGGCGCGTGAGAAATGGCACCTCTTCCAGACTCCCAGGAACCATTCTACACCAGGGACTGGGGGTCCAGAGGCTTCCGTCCCACCCATTGCAGCCCCCCAGGTCTAACAGCACAGATCGCCCACACCTGGGTATAGGAATGACAATAGTGGAGTTGGATCAGGACTCCAGCAGCTACCGCTCCGGGACAGTTGGCTTGCTGGAGCAAATCATTGCGGTGTCTGGTGTCTGCCGGGGGGCTGAGATCTGGGCTGTGTTTGTCCCTATCCAAACAGACAGAACATTAGAATGAGGTTGTCTTTACTGCGTATCCCTGATGTTCGGGAGCCTGTGTGGGCGAGCCGTCACCTCCTGGCACTGCCTCAAGGCGGCACCACCTTGCAGGGTGCCCTGCTGGTCCAGCATGCGGGAGCCCTGGCACCCATCAACCCCAGAATGAGGCACAGCGGGCAGCTGGGGATAGAGCCCGTGGCATCCCAGAGGGTGCTGCCCAGGCATGTCCTGGCACTCTTCTACCTGGATGCCCATGCCACTCAGAGAGGGGCACCATGACTGGCTGTCCTGCTCGAGGAAGGAGGTACCCCAGCAGCACCTCATTCTGTGGTTGGGACGCATTTCCCTGGGATCCAAGGGGCTGTCAGCCCTGGGGGAGGCCCAGGTGAAGGAGCCCACTCGTGGGCCCGGCCCGCAGTGCCCCCACTGTCCCTGGAGGCCCCCTGTGCTCCAGGTGGCCCGGCAGGCTCACGCTCCACAGGGAGCTTCAGGAAGCCCCAGGAGATGAGTATGCAGGGCCCAGGGCCTTGGAGCACAGCCAGGCCTTCTCCATCCACTGAGGAACACTTCTTCCTTTGACTACAAACAATCCCTACTTTCTCCTAAATTTCTGTGGGAAAATAAACTCTTGAGTACGTGACACCAAGTGGCATGAGGCCCCACAGGGTGCACCAGACCCGAAGCCGCGGGTTCCAGGGGGCTCCTGATGCAGGAGGAATGTGACAGTGGAGAAGGCGTGTGCTCCTCAAGGAAGAAGGGGACGGGAATGGGAACAGAGGCACACGCAGGCCACAGCCCCCTACCCCCTGCCCAGCCTCAGGCCTGTCTGTGGACAGCTGCATCCGCCCGGATAACCCAGGCCCTGCTGCGGTCACAGGGAGCCCTGAAATCACAAGGCTGTTATCTTAGTTTATGTTTCCTCAAAAACAGACACTGAGCCAAAGGCTGGAGGGCAAAGCTCACGGGTTGGGGGCGGATTCGGGGAAGCGCAGGGAAGAGGGAGGAGGAGGCCAAGGAGGCCTCAGTGCAGGAACAGCTGCTGGGGACCCTCTGCAAGGCTGCAGGGGACGCCATGGTGTCCTCTGAGTTATTTCTCTTTCATTAGTACAGATTGCCCCTAGAAGGGCATTAGCCTCCCTGACTCCAGCCTTCCCCACAGGCTGGACTCCATGCTGGTGTCCACAGGTGACCTCGAGGTGGGCGAAGATGTGCACACAGGGCCCAGCTGTGTCTGCTGCAGTCGGCTTGTGCGTATCACAAGCTGACGCGACATGAAGCCCTTCAGAGTCCCCTCAAGTAAAGGCTTGGGGAAGTGAGCTCCCACCGACACATGGGCGGCCATTGCTGCATCCTTCATTCCCCATCATACAGATAAGAGAGACAGGGTGGTAGGGGTGGGGGAGAGAAAGGGGAGAGAAAGGGAGAGAGCGGGGGAAAGAAGGAAGAGAGAGAGCAAGAGACAGAGAAAGACGGAGAGAGAAGGGAGAGAGAGCAAGAGAGAGGGGGAAGAGAAGCAGAGACAGAGATGGAGACAGAGACGGAAACAGAGGCAGAGACAGAGATGGAGATGGAGACAGAGACAGAGATGGACTCAGAGAGATAGACAGAGAGTGAGGATGATGAATAGCGAACAGCTGCCAGGTGAGGTTTTGCAGAATACATGCAACAGGCAGGCTCTAAATGGCTGAAAGTCTGCTTGTTTGGGGCTATTTTTAAAACAATTGAATGTATAAAAATCTGAGTTTGGTGCCAGTGGGCTCTTGAACTAATGAGCTCAGCCTGCAGGGAAGAAATAAGTGACCCAAGGGCCAGTCCCCAGAGGCCATCTCTGGCTCGTTTAGGTAACGACCACTCGTCCTTGCCCTCAGCATTCAGGTGGGCCTGGCCCACACTGGGTGAGAAGCAGGGGCCACCGGAAGAGATGGGCGGCCTCCTTGGAGGCTGAAATCATCCCCAGGCCCATCTGGGCTCCGTGGGCCTCTGGACACACAGGCACACATGGGTGCTACAGCCAGGGACAGTGGTATGGACAGCAAGTCTGCGCCCCGGTGGTGGCAGAAAATCATTTCCTTTATTTGATTCTCATTCACTGACTTCTTTTCTTTGGTCATGGGAAAGCCCAAAGCCCTGAGTTGACTGGATTCTCTGAGCAGAAGTGGACGCCGGCATCCAAGCTGGGTGTTGTCTGGAGTCCCCCGTTTCCCCAACTCAGGCTCCCAGGCCTCAGGGTTAACACAAAGCAAGGAGCCCAGCAGGGAAGGGCTGTCCCAGGCCACGAGGGTACCCAGTGCATGTTCGGATGCTTCCACTACGCCCTTCAGGGGCAGGCGGGAGCACACGGGCCCAGAGAATCCTCATAAGACTGTTCAGACCAGGCCAGGCTCGCCTGCCTCTGCACCCAGGGCGTGCAGGCTGGCAGCCAGGAGGCCCAGGTCAGGCGGTGGCCACCCGCCCGGGTCGCCCAGCATTGGAGGGAAGGGACAGCCACGGTGCACCCCGACCCGCGGTCTGCCTGTGTGCTTCAGGGGACAAGGAGGCCTTGGAGGGCCGTTTCCGAGACCAGGCTGCAGGTCCTTCACCCTGAATGCCAGGGATGAGCTCACAGGAAGAGAGCTGGGTCTTCCCTGGGCTCCCTGCTTTAAAGGGCACCCCCAGGCACCTGCCAAAGGAGAGCTTTATCCCTCCAGGGAAAACCAAGTTGCACCCCCGGAAAGCACGCCGCCCCCTCCTGCAGCTCCCTCCACCCGGCTGGCCCTCCAGGGCTTCCGCGCAGCCCGGCCCGGTTCTCCAGCGCGGAGCCGCGTTCCTTTTGCTATGCAACAGTGCCACCTGGTGGCCAGCCCGCGCAACAGCCTCCTGGAAAGGGAGCTCTGGAACCAAGGCCCCTGCGTGGAATTTTGATTTTTTTTAAAAAAATGACTGAGCCATTAAAGGTGCCCACGTTGAATTCAACAGTGAAGAGTGACGTTCCTGACGCCGCGCTTTGGAAAGCAGCTCAGGGGCGCTGATGCCGGCAGAAACGTGGCCAGCGCGGTTCCTGAGTGGGAAAGGCTAACCCCACTGCCAGGCCCACGGCTTTGCCAAGCGACACGTGGCGGTTTATGCAGAAGGAAGGTTCATGGAATATGAGCGGTTTGTCTCTGGTTTTTCCTTTAGAGTCTGTGCGCATATAATTTTTTAAACAGCCCACAGAGTGCACGCTTTGGGCGGTGATTGTCCAAGATTCGGTTAAAGTGACAAAAACGACAAAGTCCTTCCTCATCTCAAGGTCCAGACGGGGGCAGGCGGGGGATCCTGAATGTTCCCTGTCACTTCTCGCTAGGCGTCGGTTCTTTCTCGATGGCCAACGTGGGTCTCTGCTGCCAGGGTGAGGAGGAGGGTCACTCCAGCCTGGGCATCCGTTAGTTGGTGCCTGGCGGGGTTTCCGTCTCGATCTCATGTAGTTCAGGCCTGCGACTCCACGCACACCTTTCAAAGGCAGCAGAGACAAGCAGCGTCTGATGCCTCCGGGGGCATGCGGTGGCAAAGCCAGTGAGCCTGCATTCATCAGGGTCGGCTCCAGTGGACGGGGTGTGCTGTCCCATGCCTGGGGGAGCCCAGGCTCCAAGGTGGCTTCAGAGAGGTACTCAGGAGGGTGACGCTTTGGTGTGAATGCATCCCATCCGAAATTCCTGCAATGAAATGTAACAGGCCGGGCCTTTGGGAGGGGAGTAGGCGGTGAGGAAGGCCTCCTCTCATGCGAATGGGATTAAGACTCCTCTGAAAAAGGCTCCATGCAGCATTAGCAATGTCCCAGCTTCTGGCTCCTAAACTTCTCCTTACACAGAGCACTTGAACATGGACATAATTCAGCCAAGATCTTTGCCATTTTGCAACAAGGTCGGTCTTTCCTCTAGCGTCCAGTAAGATATTCCTCACTTCTGGCTGGGTGGGGTGGCTCACGCCTGTAATCCCAGGACTTTGGGAGGCTGAGGTGGGAGGATCACTTGAGCCCAGGATTTCAGACCAGTGTGGGCAACATGACGAAACCCCAAAAGACAGAGAGAGAAGAGAAAGGGAGAAGAGAAGCAGAGACAGACAGTGGGGATTATGAATAAAGAACAGCTGCCATGTGAGGTGGCAGGGCGGGGTAGGGCAGCCTGCAGTCCCAGCTATTTAGGAGGCTGAGGTGAAAGAATCATTTGAGCCCAGGAGGCTGAGGCTGCAGTGAGCTGAGATCTCGCCACTGCACTCCAGCCTGGGTGACAGAGCCAGACCCTGTCTCAAAGAAAAAAAAATCCTCACTTCTAAGACCCCATCAGAATAGTCTTCACTCTCCATATTTCTACTAACTTTCTGTTCACAACCATTTAAGTGTGAGGAGAACTGGGCTTTTCCGCAGCACCCTCTTCCGAGGACCTGCCAGAATCACCCTTAGTGGTGATTCTCTGTGGTCATGAGAATCTAGGCTGCTTCTAGCATGCACCTTCCAAATCCTCCAGCCTCTACATTACCCAGTTCCAAAGCTGCTTCCACAGTTGTAGGTATTTGTTATAGCAACAGCCTCACTGCTGGATGTGCCCTTCTGCTGCCTCCCACTTGAGGACACAGCGTTCACCTCCTCTGAAGGTCACAGCCAAGGGCACCAGCTATGAAGCAGACTGGGGCCCTCACCAGACACGAACCTACCAGTGCCTCGATCTTGGACTTCCCAGCCTCCACGACTATGAGAAATCAGTGTTGTCCTGTATACATCCCCCAGTCTCAGGGATTGCATTACAGCAGCGCAAACAGCCAGCAACAATGACATAGGTGCCCTTCTCAGCCAGTATGCAGGAGAGCTGGAGAAAAGCCAGCTGTGGACCTGCAGCTAAAGGAGCCAGAAAAAACGGCAAAGGGAAGAAAGAGGAGGAATCCGGGGCAGGCAGGAGACGCCACGGGTGATGCAGGCCCCAGGCAGGAACCTCTGGGTGTGGAGGTTCTAATCCTGGCACCCTCGGGCCCCGAGCACCCCAGGGTCCTGGTCCAGCACATCCACCGTGGGGGTGAGCTTGAGTGTGGGACTCCTTTCAGGAAGCACAAGGGACACCGCAGAAATCTGCTCTTTACGCTCCAACCTTCTCTCATGCTGGAGACAGCAAGGCCATTTATGGAGAGATTCGCAAACCAGTCCTAGCATGCCCCCATCCCTTCAGGACAGGACGTCCCCATGTGTCAGAGTTGCTGGAGCAGTTCAGACAGCTCTTTGACACAGAAGAGGGATGGAGTGCCACAGCGCCCTGCAGGCACAGGGAGGTCATGAGCTTCACGTCACCTAGGTTGGGCCACAGTGCCAGGCTGTTTGGCCAAACGCCAGTCTGAATGTTGCTGTGAAGGTCATTTAATCAAAGTCATTTTAGATCAGTAGGCTTTGAGTGAAACAGATGTCCCTCTGACAATGTGGGTGGGCCTCATCCAGTCAGAGGAAGGCAGGTGGGCCTCACCCAATCAGGTGAAGGTCTTAAAAGGAAAAGACTGAGTTCCCACAAGAAGGAAGGAATTCTCCCTTCAGGCTGTAGACTGCAACAGCAGTTCCTGTGGGAATGACCAGCCTCCTGCCTGCCCTGTGAGTTTTGGAGTTGCCAACCTCTACAATAGCACGGGATAATCCTTTGAAATAAATCTCTCTATGTCTCTGCTCTCTCTCTCTTTTTACATATACATGCATGTGGATATAGATGAGTGTGTACAGAGATAGAAATATCTAGCTATAGAGATAGATATCTGTCTGTGTCTATATAGGTACATACAGATAGATAGATATAATAAATATTTATATTCATATTAATATTATTTAATATTTAATGCATAATTCATAATCTTTTTATTTATATTATTCATATTTCCTATACTTAGCATATATTATTATATACTATATGTATTATTTTGTATATTTTTATTAATGTATGTGTATATGTTACTCATATTAATTTATATATTAATTTTTTTTTGAGATGGAGTCTCGCTCTGTCACTCAGGCTAGAGTGCAGTGGTGCAATCTTGGCTCACTGCAACCTCCACTCCCAGGTTCAAGCGATTCTCCTGCCTCAGCCTCCTGAGAAGCTGGGATTACAGGCATGTGCCAGTGCACCCGGCTAATTTTTGTGTTTTTAGTACAGACAGGGTTTCACCATGTTGGCCAGGCTGGTCTTGAACTCCTGACCTCAAGTGATCCACCAGCCTTGGCCTCCCAGACTGCTGGGATTACAGACTTGAGCCACTGCCTCCGACCTTCAATTTATATATTAATATTAACAAGATCTTAAAGATGATTCTGTGGGTGTACATAACATGGTAAATACAGGTGTGTGCTTGTGAGTGAGAGCACGCAAGACGTGCCCTCGGCCTGGTCTTCCCTCCAGCAGCCTTGGCTGTGGCTGGAAGGAGCCACTCCAGGATCCAGGGAAGCCCTTGTTTGGCCACTGCCTGCACCCCTCACCATATGCACCTTTTACTGAGTGCCGTGGAGCACCTGCCACCTGGAGCCACACAGACAAATCAGGAGCCGGCGCTGGCTCGGTGATCTGTGATTAGCTTTGTGGCTCAGATGCTCTTCCTGAACGATGGGCTCTCTGCTCACAAAATGAGAAAGACGTCTTTCTCGTGGCGCCATTCCTCCCGATTCCGTGTCACCTCGGAGGCCCTAAATCATCCCTGCTTCCTTTGCTCTTCGAATGAGCAGACAGCAGGACGCACACGCATCCCTGAACCTGGGCGCTTTATGCTGAGAGCGCCACACAGGTTATTTTTCCTCTTTATGTCATCTCCTACGGTCCTGCTGATAATTTAAAATTTAAAATTGTACTTATCAATAATAAGATATATCCCTGTCCCAGGCCCTCCCCTGCCTCTCTGGATGGATAATTCTTCAGTTACCACGGGAACCCTGAACGTGGAAGAAGACCTTGGACCCAGATCCTGCTCCACACCATCACTCACCCCGCGGTGAGCAGCAGAAGGGCCTTTGAGAGGGTCGCCTCTTCTGTCGCTGTTCCGGTGGGGGAGGGGCGCAGACCCCTTTCCTGGGGACAGGAGGCCGTGGGCATCAGCAGCAGGCAGGAGGGACCACCTCTTTCTCCCCGCCATGCAAACAGCCACACTCGCCACTGCCCAGGTCCTCCTCCGGCTGCCACTGTAAACTGAGGCAGCTGCTGCTTCCCCCCAAACTGTCCCCCAGCCAGGGCTCGGCCCGCAGTGGGACCCTGCGGGCCATCTGACCGCGCTCAGCTTCTCATCCGCCCGAGATGCCAGGCTCCGGAGGCACCATCCCTCACGGGGACTCCGCGGTCTTGGAAAGGCCGCTGTCCTGCTTCGGGAAGGCCGGGTGGCTGCGCCCTCTGGCCGGTGAGAAGCTCAGTGCGGGCCGGGCCGCCTCCCCGCCTTCAGGAGCATTTGCCATTCCTGCATTACCTAGGACTGCAAAGGTCAAACTATGTCTGTTTGAAAGGTAGCCAAAATCTCAAGCTAAAAGATGATCATTCAGGATGCTTTTACATTCAAACATCTTAAGTGACGCTCTAGTCTCCCACTGAAATCCGTCCAGGTCTGCGGAGAGGCCCTGCAGACAGCCTAGAGCAGTGACACCCTCCAGGCCGCGTCTCCATGCGGGAGTCCGTAGCCACCTTTACCAAACACGGAAGACCTCCAGCGGCTGCTGCTGCTTTGTGTGTGTGCAACACCGGGACCCTTTGCTATTTTCCTTCGTGCTTTCCTTTCTTTTCTTTTCTTTTCTTTTCTTTTCTTTTCTTTTCTTTCTTTTCTTTTCTTTTCTTTTTTTTTTTTTTTTTTTTTTTTTTTTTGAGACGGAGTCTTGCTCTGTCGCCCAGGCTGGTGTGCAGTGGGGCCATCTCGGCTCACTGCAAGCTCCGCCTCCTGGGTTCACGCGATTCTCCTGCCTCAGCCTCCAGAGTAGCTGGGATTGCAGGCGCCCGCCACCACGCCCACCTAATTTTTTTGTATTTTTAGTAGAGACGGGGTTTCGCCGTGGTCTCAATCTCCTGACCTCGTGATCCGCCCGCCTCGGCCTCCCAAAGTGCTGGGATGACAGGCGTGAGCCACCGCGCCCGGCCGTGCCTTCCTTTCTTGTTTAGCCACTAACATGTATTACTTTCATAATTCAAAAAATTGTAAGTGCAAGAATTCCAAGTTACTGTGTGTCCAAGGCATGAAGCAAACCCAAAAGCTGCAACCTCTTTCCCTGCCGCAAAACCTCATTGCTGTAGTCCCCCTGAATAAAGTCTGTCTCACTGCCTAAAAAGAAAGAAAGAAAGAAAGAAAAACAAGATGGGGCAAAGTACAGAATCTGTGTTATTTCCATTTACAAAGCATCATTGTCCCAAGAGAAAACATTATTAAACTAGACTATTTTCACCATAGAGGCAGTAAAACTTGCTTTTAGGTATGAGAAATAGTTCTCATTAGGAGTGAGAGTTGGTAAAAGATAATCAGAAATGGCTCTATGTTACGCCCTCCTGGCAAGAAACAGCACCTTCTACCACAGCTGTCAATCTTCTTGTGCCAAGAGGGCTCCCATCCGTGCCAGGTCTCAGCACACAGGTCTGCTCTGCGTCCTAGAAAATGCAAAGAACCGGCTGGGTGCAGTGGGTCACACCTGTAATCCCAGCACTTTGGGAGGCCGAGGCAGGCGGATCATGAGGTCAGGAGACTGAGACCATCCTGGCCAACATGGTGAAACCCTGTCTCTACTAAAAATACAAAAATTATTCACGTGTGGTGGCGCTCGCCTGTAATCCCAGCTACTCAGGAGGCTGAGGCAGGAGAATCGCTTGAACCCGGGAGGCGGAGGTTGCAGTGAGCCGAGATCACACCGCTGCACTCCAGCCTGGGCCACAGAGCGAGACTCCGTCTCAAAAAAAAAAGAAAAGAAAAGAAAAAAGAAAATGCAAAGAACTTTCCACAACCCACAGGTGGGCCCCTCTCTGGAAAGGTGGTCGCATTGGAAAGCGGTGCTGTGGAGAGGCTGGTTCTCAGGATGAGCTAGATTGTAAATATTTCTGCTTAAAACAAATACCTCTAAGATACAAAGTTTAAATATAATGTCATCTAAAGTTCCAAAAGTCACTTTAGTGAAAAGTGTTTTGGTCTTTACATCTTAGTGCAAACGGTGCTGAAATGCATCCTCTGGTGACATCTCTCAGCCTCCTTCCGCAGCCAGGCAGCTCAGAGGCCAAGGTGGGCTGACTGAAGGATTTCCAGAAGGAGAAGGAGTGTTGAGAACAGCTCATCTTGAAATCCATCGCCCACCTTTTAGAAAGTGATAAGAAATTAGGATCTTTCTTTTTTTTTTTTTTTTTTGAGACCAAGTCTCACTCTTGTCTCCCAGCCTGGAGTGCAGTGGTGTGATCTTGGCTCACTGCAACCTCCACCTTCCAGGTTCAAGGGATTCTCCTGCCTCAGCCTCCCGAGTAGCTGGGATTACGGGTGCCTGCCACCATGCCCAGCTAATTTTTGTATTTTTATTAGAGATGGGGTTTCACCATGTTGGTGCTGGTCTGAAACTCCTGACCTCAGGTGATCTGCCTGCCTCGGCCTCCCAAAGTGCTGGGATTACAGGCGTGAGCCACCTCACCTGAGAAACTATGATCTTTTGTAGGGAGGAGATGTTACCATTGACACACTCACCGAATGTTCATTATACTCACAGGCGCACACAGTATTTCAGGCTGCTATCATTTGTCAATCCTGAAGTATTGCTTCAAAATCAATGAACAATCTTGGTGATGACGGGCAAGCATCTACTGTCCAACTCTATGGCTTGACTAACTGACCACTTTCCTCAATATCAAGGGACTCAGGTTTCGATATTTTAATACAAGCTGTAAGAGTTTAGAAAATGTCATTAGACCCCAGCATCAATAATGGGTCCAGGAAACACAGCTCACCAGTGAAAAGCAGGCCAGTGGCCCCTGTTCTCTTGTCAAATTTAGAATAACGGGTTTGGACCAGGTGCCCGCACTGACGATGCAGACCTCGGCTGGTTATGGAAGCCCACGGTCAGGGGAGCTCTTTCCAGAGGAGTCAGCAGTGCTGAACTGCCTGAGACAGGAACCGCAGGCCCTTGGCACCCTCAGACACTGGGGACTGAGAGGGGCTCAGAGGGTGATGCCCTGGGCGACTGGCGGGTGGGGACTGCCCCTCCTGAAGGGACCAAGGTTCCACATGTTCCCCCTAAAAGAGGAAGTCCCAGGAGCACAGGTGTTGAGGCTCCTGTGGATTAAAAGCCCCACCGTGTTACACGGGCAGGTGGCTCCTGTTTTCTGGACGGCTGGGCACAGTGGACTTGACCACCGGAAACCCCCAGGCAGGAGGAAGCCCAGCAGTCCTCAGGCCCTAGGCCAGGGTGGGTGGTGGAGGTAACAGAGAGCCCGGGGACTGCTCCGTGGGCGTTCCTGCCTGCAGCCTTCCCTACTGGCCCACCACCCCCTGTCCTGCTGTGTCACTCAGGAAAGGGGTGAGCGACGGGCCAAGGGGAGGAAGCCTCCAGCAGAAGCCGGAGGTGTTGGTGGAGCCCACTCTGCATGGCCGTGCCCAGAGACCCCAGCCCCTCTGCTGCTCTGCAGAAGCGCTGGCCAGAGAGATGGAGCAGGGAGGGGTATCATTTTCTCTACACCACAGCCTCCTAGTGGATTCCCCGTGGCAGCCAGGGGTGTCCCCTCCCAGGCACTGAAGCTGGCGCATGTGGGGAGACACAGGTGTCCAGGTGTCCTATGGGGGTCCCTGGAGCACCTGCCTCATTCCGCCCGGGTCCACCCCACACTCTGCTATCCCTGAGGGTCACTCACATCATGGTGAATGGGTCCCAGAGCCTCGGTTTCAGGGTGGGTGCCTTAAAACCTTGGCACCCTGGACCTCACCACCCTGTCGCCGAGCTGGGCCGGGCTCCGTCATGTCTCACTCCTACCCCCACACCCCTCTGGACAATGCTCATGCAACAAAGCAGCGCCCCGGGGTTCCCTGTGACTCTGGGGAAGGGGAGAGTCCTACACCTTTTGCACCTGTAGGGACCAGCCCTAGAGGGTCTGTGGGTTTTTCTCCCCATGTGTGGAGACGAGAGATCATAGAAATAAAGACACAAGACAAAGAGATAAAAGAAAAGACAGCTGAGCCCGGGGGACCACTACCACCAAGACGCAGGGACAGGTAGTGGCCCCAAATGCCAGGCTGTGCTGTTATTTATTGGATACAAGACAAGCGGGCAGGGTAAGGAGTGTGAGCCGTCTGCAATGATAGGTAAGGTCACGTGGGTCACGCATCCGCTGGACAGGCGGCCCTTCCCTGCCTGGCAGCCGAGGCGGAGAGAGAGGAGACAGCTTACGCCATTATTTCTGCATATCAGAGACTTTTAGTACTTTCACTGATTTGCTACTGCTATCTAGAAGGCAGAGCCAGGTGTACAGGATGGAACCTGAAGGAGGACTAGGAGCGTGACCGCTGAAGCACAGCATCACAGGGAGACGGTTAGGCCTCCGGATAACTGCGGGCGAGCCTGACTCATGTCAGGCCCTCCACAAGAGGTGGAGGAGCAGAGTCTTCTCCAAACTCCCCCGGGGCAAGGGAGACTCCCTTTCCCGGTCTGCTAAGTAACGGGTGCCTTTTCTAGGCACTGAAGTTACCGCCAGACCACAGTCCGCTAGGTAACAGGCGTCTTCCCAGGCGCTGGCGTTACCTCTAGACCAAAGAGCCCTCGGGTGGCCCTGTCTGGGCATAACAGAAGGCTCGCACTCTTGTCTTCTGGTCACCCCTCACTATGTCCCCTCAGCTCCTATCTCTGTATGGCCTGGTTTTTCCTAGGTTATGATTATACAGTGAGGATTATTATAATATTGGAATAAAGAGTAATTGCTACAAACTAATGATTAATAATGTTCGTATATAATCATATCTATGATCTATATCTAGTATAACTATTCTTATTGTATATATTTTCTTCATTACACTGGAAGAGCTCGTGCCCTCGGTCTCTTGCCTCGGCACCTGGGCGGCTTGCCGCCCACATGCACCCCACCCCGTCTTGCCAGAGACTGCAGCCTCTGGGGTGAACCTCCCACCTGGGTATCAGGCCCCTGCTGGTGACAATGTGAAGGTGGTTGGGGGTGCCGGGAGACAGGAGCTGAATTGTGGGTGAGGATCCCCCCCAACTGGGAGAGCTCGCAGCCCTGGCAGTTCCCTGATCCTCAGGAGTCCCCTCTGCTTGTCGGGCATCTCGGGGGTTCTTTCTGCTGCTGTTTCCCCAACCTGGTGGTGGAAGGCCTGGCACAGCGGCTCCAGGTCACATGGGCAGGAAAACAGGACAGAGGAGCAGCCACCAGTGCAGCTGTGCCTGCGGCCGGACACACTGACCACCCCAATGTCCAGCGCTGGGGCGGGTCTCTCTGTGCTGTGGGTGGGAGCGTCGAAACGCGGAAGGGGCTCCTCTCCTGGGTGCCAGGTCGGGGCTGCCCCGCAGCGCCCGCCAGACCTCCCTCTCTGAACCTGTGGGCACTGGGGGTCCTCAGCCACTGAAGGGAGAGCCAGGAGTCCTGTCACTTCCCCCGTGCCCATCCCCAGCACTTTTGGAGGGACCTGGAGAAGGAGGGGAGGGGCCCGGCCACAGGGCAGTGGTGCAGCCCCTGGAGTCTCAGCGGTTGCCCTGCCTGCAGCAAGGGTGCTGGGGCTACTGGTGCCTCCCCAGCCTGTCCTGGACTCCGGTGATGTGCTGCCCCAGAAACACACGTGGAGGACCCCAGGAGGAGCCCCATCTTGCAGCCCATGGTAAATGGGGCAGATGGGGTCACGGCGCTGCCGACCCCCAGCTCGGGGGTCCAGGGTGCTGCCTCAGCTCCCCTGGGAGGGAGGGAAGGAGGGAACAGGTCCGTCCCGGCGGTCCCCACCCTCCTGAGAGCGAGTTGCTGCCGGTTCATGCCCAGGGTCAGGGTCGGGGTCAGGGTGGACGTGGGCACAGCCGCAGTGGCAGATTCTGCCTCTCTGAAACCTGGGCCCAGGGGTGCGAGACACCCCTCAACCCCCTACCCCCCACCGTGCCTCTGAGCTGCTGGATATGAGCCTATTGCTTCGTGTCGGGGAAGAAGCAGGAGAGAATTATCTGATCCATGAGGAACAACCAGGGAAGAGCCAGGACAGACCCCGGGCCTCCTGCCAGTGCCCTAAGGAAGACCCCTCCCCAGCTGCGGAGCGGAGGCCAGGTCCTCGGTCCCGGTGGGGAGCGAGAGGCAGCAGTGGGTAAACGCCAGTGGAGGGGGCGGGCCAGGGGGCCCAGGCTGGAGAGAACTTTGAAGGCAGCTTTCCAGAGCCCCAAAACCTCCATCAGGTAAGGGTGGTCTGGGGTGGAGGTGGTCTGGGGTGGAGGTGGTCTGGGGTGGGATGGGCTGGGGTGGAGGTGGTTTGGTTGGAGGTGGTCTGGGGTGGAGGTGGTTTGGGGTGGGGTGGTCTGGGGTGGAGTGGTCTTGGGTGGGATGGGCTGGGGTGGAGGTGGTTTGGTTGGAGGTGGTCTGGGGTGGGATGGTCTGAGGTTGGAGGTGGTCTGGTGTTGGAGATGGTATGGGGTGGGGTGGTCTCGGGTGGAGGTGGTTTGGGGTGGAGTGGTCTGGGGTGGGATGGGCTGGGGTGGAGGTGGTTTGGTTGGAGGTGGTCTGGTGTTGGAGATGGTATGGGGTGGAGGTGGTCTCGGGTGGAGGTGGTCTGGGGTGGAGATGGTCTGGGGTGGAGTGGTCTGGGGTGGAAGTGGTCTGGGGTGGGATGGTCTGAGGGTGGGGGTGGTCTGGGGATGGGTGATCTAGGGGTGGAGGACATCTGCGGTGGAGGTGGCCTGAGGTGGGGTGGTCTCGGGTGCAAGTGGTCTGGGGTGCGGTGGCCTGGGGGTGAGGTTGTCTGGGGTGAAGGTAGTCTGGGGTGGAGGTGGTCTGGGGTAGGGTGGTCTGGGGTGGAGGTGGTCTGGGGTGGAGGTGGTCTGGGGTGTGATGGTCTGAGGTTGGAGGTGGTCTCAAGTGGAGGTGGTCTGGTGTTGGAGGTGGTATGGGGTGGGGTGGTCTCGGGTGGAGGTGGTCTGGGAGTGGAGGTGGTCTGGGCTGGAAGTGGTTTGTTTGCCTGCATTCCAGCTGAAAACAAGTTCAGACAACTTCAAGGCTGGGATGAGATGAGACAGAACGAGGCCCTTTCATAATTTCATCTAAACACGGACAAATCAAGATCCCGGTGCCAGCCATGAAATGCCAAACCTCCCCTTCTCTCTGCTAACAGGAGCTGGGCCTTGCCTGGGGTCAGACTTTTGCCAGCTGGTCATGCGGGCTCCAGCTTTCTGACAGCCTCCAACCCGGGGTGACCCCCAACCACCCAGCCACAGCCCAGTCCTACAGAGGGTCTTCCTGACGCTCCTCCTGCGACCCCGCGGTGCCCGTGGTGTGTGTGGCCACGTGGTGAGTCGTAGCCCAACCTTTCAACCACAGGCAGCTCCTGGGGCTCTGGCTGGACAGAGACGCCAGGGTCAAGAGGCAGGTGAAGGCTGAGGGTGCTCGGGAGTGGCCAGGGACGGTTCTGAGCATGGCAGTTCTTCCCCACTTCCCCAGGTACCGGCAGGAGTTACTACAGCCACTTTCCACGTGTCTGGGACTCCCCCACGCGTGACCAACTCCCCAGGAAAATGAGATGGCTACAGGCCTCAATCAATCCATTAAAGAAAAGTTTCAGGAAATAGAAACATTATTAACCACAAGCAGAGGGCTGAGGAACTAAGAAATAGCTCTGGATAAGAAGACACGCAGGGCCCAAGCTGCAGGTCCAGCGAGAGGGACGACAGTGGGCGAAGTTCCGAGAAGCCCCTTCCCTGAGGCTCCCACTCCTGTGGGAAGATGGAAGTGGCCCGGGCCGGTGGGGGAGCCCGGCGGGATGCCAGGGCTGCACTGGGCACTGCAGGGGAGCTAGGGCCGGGGGGGGCTCCATGCGAGATGAAAGCTGCCCACCGCTGGCACAGGACTAAGGGCTGTGCACAGCACGGGAAGACCCTCCCTTTAAGAGTTTCTCCCGATGCCCTCTTCCCCCTGCAGCCCTCCTCTGCTCCCCGAGTTCCAAACACACCAGGACGGAGCCTGTTTGAGCCTGGAGCCCTCTGCATTGCTCTGCTGCAGGCTATAAAGCAAAATGCAAAACGCAACGTGCATCCCGTCCAGTTCACGTATTTCTACCATGTTTGGGTGTTTTTAAGGGTCCCGCTTCATTTTTATCCTAAAGCCAGTGGCAGCCACTCAATCTTTGGAGACTGGGGCTGTCGCCTGCATCCGCGGTTGGAGTTTGCCAGACACCTGGCGCCTTGGGCCACCTCTGGGCTCCAGAACCTGCAACCCTGGGCACACGGCTCTCCCGCCGTCTTGCCACAGTGCCCCCTGGCGGCCCTGCTGAGTCAAGCCGGCTTCCTGTCTTCCCAGACTGGGCTCTTCCCTGAAACCCGGGAGGGAAAGGTGAGACTTTCAGCCCCTCTGCCCAGAGCTGCTCAGGATGGCTTGGAGCCCTGCACGTATTTGGCAAATATTTACTGTGTGTGCACTATGTGCCTGGCACTGTCATTGAACCAGAGGGTAGAACAATGACCAAAACCAGGTACACCTGTTCTCAGGGCTCCAACCTTCTGGGGAGGGATGGACACAGCAAAGGGGTGTCTGTGAGGTGACACAGTGAAGGGGCGTCTGTGAGGTGACACGTCGAAGGAACGCAAGCAAGGAGACGGAAAGAGGGAGCTGCTAGTTTACACGGGCGCTGGCGAACATAAACGTTTGTGTTTAAGTACAAAGAAAATGGTTGCAGCTGTGCAGGCCTCGGGGGTTCACACTGGGACGATGACCACGGCTGCAGCCTGGTGCCCCCCAGCTTGGGGAAAAGAAGGAAATGAAGAGCAGGGTGCAAGCTCAGATCGAGACGGCCCAAACCCAAGAAGCCAAAAGTGTATTGGGGTGCAAGCTATGCTTTACGCTCTTATGCATTCTTCTTCCATTTGTAAAAAAGTTTGGACATGCAGAGAATCTGCGTTTGGTGCCTTTCAAATCGAGGGAATAAAAGGTCCCGCCTCCACGGGCTGGGAGAGCCTCACACACAACACACAAGGTGATGACTGATTTCTCCTTTTCTGCAAGGAATTTCCTCACTTTCTCTTCCCAGCTCAGGAATGAGCCTTAGGAAGAGGCAGAGGTCGAACCATTTGGTTCAAGCAAGGCCCGGGGTCCGAGAGGGAGGCCTAGCTGGAGGAGATTGGGCGTTGGGAGGGGTGGGGGAGACACCGCAGGTGACCGGAGCCCCCTCCTCAGCACAGCCCCTAGCTCAGGCCCCTGAAGCTCTCTGGGTGGAGGCTGCAATCGTTACTATAAAACCATTGTCTTAGAGAGCAGGCGCCTTCCGCCCCTGGCATGGTGCCGAATAGAGATGTGATTTCGCTTTAGATATGAACGTGCACATTTGCAGGAAAACCTAATTATGGGCGTGCCTGTGTTTATACTGTATGAAGGGCTTCTCCATCTGTCGCCGTTCTATTGTTACTGTATCAGGCATTGATGGTTTATTAATACCTTTTCCGCAACATGGAGAAAACAGATGATGTTTTCCCCCGTGTCTGTCATTACTACGGTGAGTGTTTTATTGTTGGTTTGGTTTTTTGTTGTTGTTTTTCTTGAGACGCCCAAGCTAGAGTGCTATGGCGTGATCTGGGCTCACTGCAACCTCTGCCTCCTGGGTTCAAGCAGTTCTCCTGCCTCAGCCTGCCGAATAGCTGGGATTACAAGCACCTGCCACCACGCCTGGCTAATTTTTGTATTTTTAGTAGAGACAGGGTTTTGCAATGTTGGCCAGGCTTGTCTTGAACTCTTGACTTCAGGTGATCCACCTGCCTCAGCCTCCCAAAGTGCTGGGATTACAAGCATGAGCCACCACATGCAGCCTCATTTATGTCTGGTATTATTTACAATATCAGGCACATTTGCTTTCTTGATGTCAACCCTTCGTTGCCACGATGCATCATTGTGCAAATCTGATGCTGGGTCTGATTTGCCAATCTCTTGTTTATTTGTCAGCAGCCTGTGGTGGAGCCCAGCCCAGGGTCGGGGGCGAGAGTGTGGCAGGGTCAGGTGAGGACCCGGGAGGGGTCCGAGGAGCTGGGCCCTGGAGAGGGAGAGAGATAGGCCAGACACAGAAATGGTGGGACTCCTGGTTCAAAAGGTAGCAAAAGGCTGGGTGTGGTGGCTCACACCTGTAACCCCAGCACTTTAGGAGGCTGAGGTGGGCAGATCACGAGGTCAGGAGTTCGAGACCAGCCTAGCCAAAATGGTGAAACCCTGTCTCTACCAAAAATACAAAAATTAATCAGGGGTGGTGGCGTGTGCCTGTAATCCCAGCTATTCCGGACACTGAGGCAGGAGAATTGCTTGAACCTAGGAGGTGGAAGTTGCCGTGAGCCAAGATTGTGCCAGTGCACTCCAGCCTGGGGGAAATAGCAAGACTCTGTCTTGGGACAAAAAAAAAGCAGCAAAAAACCACAGTGAAAGCTTTCCCCTTTAGGAATGATTTTATCACTTACACAATAAATAGGGGTGATAGTGGTGCCAAGTAACAACACCAATTTACAAACTACAAAACAATAATTTTTGGATTCAGAATTTTATATAATAAATAATATTTTATTAATAGGATGTTTATGATTTTTCCAATTTTTTCTGCAAATTCATTTATTAGATCATCAAAATGGATACTTCAGAAATTTCATTTTCGGTTTTGACATAACTGAAAGTTATTTCAGTCTTTTTTGGCAAATGCAAGATCTCAAATAATTTTTGATGACCTTTGAGAAGAATCTTTGTGCTGATACAGCTGTTATTGGAGCAGTAAAGGTATCTTACAGGCTGTGACAACATTAGGATTAGTTTCTGATAAATTGTTTTAAATGATAAATGTCAGCGCATGTAGACCTGGTGATTCTTGTGGAGAAATTTTTTTTAAAAAAATTAATTCTTCAAAGAAATCAGTTTCATGGGAGTCTAAATTATTTTTTAATAAGCTTTATTTTTGGAATTGTTTTAGATTTACAGAAAAATTGCAAAGCAAGTTTCCATACACCTTACACCCAGCTTCCCCCATTATTAGTATCTTACTTCAGTATGGTATGTTTCTTACAATTAGAGAACCAATATTGGGCCAGGCGTGGTAGCTCACACCTGTAATCCCAGCACTTTGGGAGCCTGAGGCGGAAGGATCACTTGAGGTCAGGAGTTGGAGACCAGCCTGGCCAACATGGTGAAACCCTGTCTCTACTAAAATACAAAAATTAGCTGGACGTCGTGGCTGGCGCCTGTAATCCCAGCTACTCAGGAGGCTAAGGCAGGAGAATCGCTTGAACCCAAGAGGTGGAGGTTGCAGTGAACTGAGATCATACCACTGCACTCCTGCCTGGGCCACAGAACAAGACTCTGTCTGAAGAAAAAACTAAACTAAACTAAACTAAAAACTAAATAATGACCAAGTACGGTGGCTCACGCCTGTTATCCCAGCACTTTGGGAGGCTGAAGCAGGCGGATCACTTGAGGTCAAGAGTTCGAGACCAGCCTGGCCAACATGGCAAAACCCCGTCTCTACTAAAAATACAAAAATTAGCCAGGCGTGGTGGTGGACCCCTGTAATCCCAACTATGCAGCAGGCTGAAGGAGGAGAACTGCTTGAACCTGAGAGACAGATGTTGCAGTGAGCCGAGATCACGCCACTGTACTCTAGCCTGGGTGACAGAGCGAGACTCCATCTCAAAAAAAAAATTAAAATAAAATAAAATAGAGAACCAATATTGATACATTATTATTAACTAAAGTCCACACTTTGTTCTTCTCTCATTAGCATTTACGTGCTGGTCCGTTTCTGTCCCAGGGCCCCACCCAGGGTCCCACGTGACATTCCCTTGTCCGTCTCCCTGGGCTCCTCTGGGCGGTGACCGTTTCCCAGGCTCTCCTTGTTGGTGGTGACCTGGAGGGTTCAGAGGACTGCTCAGGTGTTTGTAGGGTGTCCCTTATTAGGATCTGTCTGGTGTTTTCACGATTAGACGGGGCTGTGGATGTGGGAAGGAAGAGCACAGAGGGAGATGCCCTTCTCGTCACCCCATGCTGAGGGCCTGTCCTGTTGGCATGGCTCGTCGTGCCTCGCGGGCTATGCTGCCCCCGTCTCCTGGCTGTGTTTGTGTCTTTCAGGATTCCCCACGGAAAGATGCTCCTGAATTCCCCTGTCCCGTGCTGCATTCTCAGAAGGAGGTCCCAGTGCTGCCTGCACTTAAGGGGTGAGGGCTACACAGAATTAGTGGGAACTCTTCTGCATGGGGGACTTGCCTATCCACTCCCATTTATTTATTTACTTTTATTTATTTACTTCTTTTGGAGACGGAGTCTCGCTCTATTGCCCAGGCTAGAGTGCAGTGGTGCGATCTCGGCTCACTGTAACCTCTGCCTCCCGAGTTCAAGTGATCCTCCTTTATTTATTTACTAAATCACTTATTTCTATCAGTCATGTTCATGGATATCTATTTTACAGTTCGGGTTAGAGTCAATGCTACTCTCTCTATTTATTGTGTTGATCGAATTGTTCTATTTGTAACCCCCAGGAGCGCTTTCTTTTGGCTCACGTGTCCCTACAACGTGCTTCTGATACTTTCCATCACTGCATGTATCGGGGCTTTGCTTTGTTTTCTTTTAGATTTTTTTTTTCTGGAGCTACAAGATGCTCCAGACTCACCTTTATCTTTTTTGCCTCAGTCCTAGAAGTTGCCATGTCTCCAAGGGTCCCTGGTCCTTGGGTTGGAGCCTGGTATTCAACCTCCTGCTGCTGTGGGGTGCCATAGGTTTGGGGCCCTCTTGAGGCAGGAGAGGTTGTCAAGGAAGTGGCCATCTCCTCGCAGCAACCGTAGTGACCACTGGGCCAAGGCAACAAGCCTCCCCATTCATGTTGTCATTGAGCTCATTCGAACAAAGCTATCTCAGGAGGGAATTTCCCCCGTAGAGAGCATGCACATTTTGATTTTACCTGTCCTCACTCTGACCCTTTGCTCCTTATAATAGTATAAAGCACATCCCTGGGTGGAGATTTAAGATGCTAATGAGACATGAATGGTATGAACAAGCGTGTACAGCTACTGCACACATGCACCCAGAGGACCACCCAGAACATGCTTCCTAGCAACACCTCTTCCCAGCTCCTTAGGAATAATCATGGAAGAGTCCCATAAAGGGAGCCTCCCTCAGGCCGGTCTCTGCTTCTCATCCTTGTGAGCAGCCCGCCCTGCACCCTGTCTCGCCCAGGGCATCCTGTCTGTTCTGCACCTCACTTCCACAACATTCTTTCTCCTTTGCAATGAATTCCTCTGTGCTGCATCTCCTGTGTGTCTTGTTTAAATTATTTTAAACTAAGAAGACAAGAACCGAGGTCTCACAACAGCTGTCAACACTCTCCACTGACAGAGCAACAGGACATACGTGTGCATCCTAACCACGTCTGCACACATCTGCAGGTGTTTGTGTGTGACCATCTGTGTCTGTACGAAGCTGAGCGTGAGTTCCTAATGAGATCTCCACCTCTAATCCATCACCGTGGGCATCATTGCAACCTCACCCTCCCTGATTCAAGCAATTCTCCTGCCTCAGCCTCCTGAGTAGCTAGGACTACAGGCGTGCGCCACCACACTCAGCTAATTTTTGTATTTTTAGTAGAGATGGGGTTTCGCCATGTTAGCCAGGCTGGTCTCAAACTCCTGACCTCAGATGATCCGCTTGCCTTGGCCTCCCAAAGTGCTGGGATTACAGGCATGAGCCACTGTGCCTGCCCTGTCTTACCCTTTAATCATCAGTTCACCTGAAGCTTTATTTGAAAATAGTATTCTTTTCCATCAACTACAATGTTCTTTACTTTTTGGTTTTTGAGGCAGGGTCTTACTTGGTTGCCCAGGCTAGAGTGCAGGGGTACAATCATGGCTCACTGCAGCCTCAGCTTCCTGGGCTCAAGCAATCTTCCCTCCTCAGCCTCCCAAGTAGCTGGGACTACAGGTGCACACCACCGGGCCCGGCTAATTTATTTTTATTTTTCATGGAGACCAGGTCTCACTATGTTGCCCAGGCTGGTCTCCAACTCCTGGGCTCAAGTGATCCTCCTGCCTCAGCCTCCCAAAGTGCTGGGGTTACAGGCAAGAGCCACTGTGCCCAGCCATTTCCTTTACATTTAATTTCTAAGTTTGTCTTGTGGATGTTTGCTTTGCAATGTTGCAGCCGTTTTCCAAATCTAAAGGTTCAAAAGTGTTTGAGGAATTCTAATAACCCCCTGGTTTGCTCTATGCTAACGTCCATATACACAGTTTCATTCTGTAACAATTTACTGTGTACCGCCTGAGCTTGGCAGCTCCTTTCCTAGCCCTGGACTGGGAAGCACATATTTAGCAGGTGCTGGGGAACCAAGCTCTGGGGACAGACAGACCAGCCAGCTGCCCACCCTGGGCTGCTGCTGACATGCGCAGGGTCTCTCCTCCCCGTGAGCCGCAGCTGCCATGACTGCCCTTCTACCGCTGCCAACTCCTTCCTGGGCCCCGGTTCCAGCCCAGCCTCCCCCTGGTGCCCTGGACTGCCCTCAGATACACACCACGCAGCCAGGTCTGTGCTGCCCACCGTGCCCAGGGCCCTGCATGCACACGCGTGCACACTGCCCCTGGTGCAACCCCTGTCGTGTGCACACTCCCCTGTCCCACCAGATTTGCCCCCAAAGCCCAAGCTGATAAACAAAGTTATTTAGAATTTCTCTTTTTTTTCTTTTTTTTTTTGGAGACGGAGTCTCACTCTGTCGCCCAGGCTGGCGCGCAGTGGCACCATCTCTGCTCACTGCAACCTCTGCCTCCCGGGTTCAAGCAATTCTCCTGCCTCAGCCTCCTGAGTAGCTGGGACCACAGGCGCCCGCCACCTCGCCCAGCTAATTTTTTTGTATTTTAGTAGAGATGGGGTTTCACCATGTTGCCCAGACTGGTTTCAGACTCCTGACCTCAGGCGATTCACCCACCTCGGCCTCCCAAAGTGCTGGGATTACAGGCATGAGCCACCACGCCCAGCAGAGAATTTCAAGACAGTGACAGCAAGGCATGAAGCCTTCTAAGTGTGGGAACTTGTGTGTTTGTGGGAGCTGCATGCCCATGCAGCAGGCTCTGGGACTGAGGCAGGAAAATACGGTCTGGAGGCAGGGAACATAAGGCGGATTCGCACTTCAGCTATGACAGGACATGTCCTCCCCATGGGCACACAGCGAACAAATGACTTTGTAACTTCATTCTCTTCATTTACATAGGGCGGACCTCCAGTACAGGGTATTTAAACTCACAAAAACTCTTTAACGGGGCCCTTATAATAGTATAAAGCACATCTCTGGGTGGAGATTTAAGATGCTAATGAGACATGAATGGTATGAACAAGCGTGTACAGCTACTGCACACATGCACCCAGAGGACCACCCAGAACATGCTTCCTAGCAACACCTCTTCCCAGCTCCTTAGGAATAATCATGGAAGAGTCCCATAAAGGGAGCCTCCCTCAGGCCGGTCTCTGCTTCTCATCCTTGTGAGCAGCCCGCCCTGCACCCTGTCTCGCCCAGGGCATCCTGTCTGTTCTGCACCTCACTTCCACAACATTCTTTCTCCTTTGCAATGAATTCCGCTCGGCTGCTCCCACACTGTGGAGTGCACTTTCCTTCTCAATAAATCCCAGCTTTTGCTCTCCTCGCTTTATTTGTGCGTTTTGTCCAATTCTTTGTTTGAGAAGCCAAGATCCTGGACACCCTCCCTGGGTACAGTAACAGGGCTACAGAAGCCTTAGTGGGGGGATAATTGAGGGGGGAAAAGGCAGGAAGTAGGCGAGCCCCACCCACAGAGTCTCCACCCCCTCCTCCGGTCCTGTCTACACTGCATGAGCTAGAAGATAAAAATGTCAATTCCAAGGCCAGGGTGAGAATGAGGTCCTGCCAATCGAATGCCTTTCCCCAGGTCTGGAAGGGAAGGCAGGCAGAGGCCCATGCCAGGGCTCAAGTGCTGCTGCGCATGAGGGCGAGCTGTGCACCTGTGGCTTCCGCTGCAGCTGGTCACCTGCTTCCCCAGAGAAAGGCTTGGGTAGACGCACACCCCAGTGCTGTCACCAGCCTGTGGACGCCCTGAGGTGGCTGTGGCAGAGGTGGCGGTGAGGTGGCTCCCTGTCCCTGGACCACATGGCAGGTGCACTGGAGCTCAGGGTTCCAGGACAGCTTGGAAACCTGAGGTCTCCAGGGGCCCCTGCTGTGGACAGCTGGAGTCCTTCCAGGAAGTCCAGGTCCCAGAGCTGCCATCGAGAACATAAGCTTCTGATTTCCACTCTAGATCCCCCCGACAGAAAATACCCTGAATGACTGCTTTTCCTGCTCTGACTGAGCCACCGCTTGTACTCGCTTCCTGGGGCAGCCCTAACAAAGGACCACAAATGACAGAAACATCCCTCTCCCAATCCTGGGGGCCAGAAGTCTGAGATGCAGGGGTGGGCAGGGCTGGTTCCTTCTGGGGCTGCAACAGAGCCTCTGTTCTGGTCTCTTCTAGCTTCTGGGTCTTGCTGGCAACCCTTGGTCCTCTGTGACTTATAGAAGCATCACCCCAACCTCTACCTTCATCTTCACGTAACGTCCTAATGTCCATCAATGACAGACTGGATAAAGAAAATGTGGTACTTATACACCATGGAATACTGTGCAGCCATCAAAAAGAATGAGATCATGTCCTTTGCAGGGACATGAATGGAGCTGGAGGTCAATATCCTTCACAAACTAATGCAGGAACAGAAAACCAAATATCGCGTGTTCCCACTTATGAGTCAGACCTGAGCACTGAGTACATAGGAACACAAGGGAACAACAGCACTGTGGTGCATTTGGCGGGGGTGGCGGGGGCAGGAGGAGGGTGAGGATCAAAAAGTCACCTATTGGGTACTATGCTCATTACCTGGTTGATGAAATAATCTATACACCAAACCCCCATGACATGCAATTCATCTATATGGCAAGCCTGCACATGCAGCCCTGAACCCAAAATAAAAGCTGAAAGAAAGCTTGTCTCCAGGCTAGGTTGCCTTAGAAGGCACTGGGCATTTGGGCTCCCCCAGCTCTGGAATTTTTTTTTGGAGGTGGGGATCTATTCAACTCCCGGCTGCCTTCGAGCTTGTGTCCCGCAGCTGGCGTTGTGTGCAGTCCTGCCTTCTCCTGTCTGGTTTTTCAAGGCCCTGTGAGATTGCAGATAAGCCCAAGCTCCTCCGCATCTCCACGTCTGGCTCCTGCATGCACTAGGGGCTTCTTAGGGCCTGATGTACCGCACAGCTCAGCATACAGACCCTTCCTCATCCTTCCGCTGAAGTGGCCTGGCCCTGAGCTTCCCTCCCTCCCACGGGACGGCAGTGCCTCCACGGCTGACACCACCGCCCTCACCACCTTTCCCTCTCCCCACCTCTCCCCACATACCAGACTGTGAGCTTGGATTTACTCTGCTCTGTCATCTCTGGAGCCCAACACAACAAGGGGCCCAGAGCAGAAAGCTATAGACGTTAGTTCTGTGCATGAAGACATGGACCATGACATGAAAGATGCTGAGGGGAGAGAAATGGGAACAGGCCCAGGGGTGGAGGCAAGAAGATGGTGCTTCTGGGAATGAGAGAGAGGTGGGAAGGAGAGAACCACAAGACAGTGAGCTTTGTGCTTAGAGACTTTGTTTATTTAGAGGGTCAGGATTCAGTCTTGATATACAGACAGCCAGAGAGATTGAGGGTCGATCACACTCCTGAAAGAAGGAGCAGCTGTCAGGGTCTAAGGGGTCTGATCTGCCTCTGGGGCCTCAGTGGGCCGCTTTGGATCTTAAATGAGTGAGGAGCAGGGAGAGGAAGTTCAGGAGAAGTAGTAGGCAATGAGCCAGAAGGGGTCCTCAGTCAGTTTCGGGAGCACTGGTGTGGAGTGGATGAAGCCAGTGAGGACACAGTGGAGACAGTGGAGCACCAGAGAACCCAGGGCAAGGAAGCTGGGCAGCCGGGCCCTTCACCAGTCAGGCCACCTGCAGTCTGCAGTCAGAGCCTCAGATCTTACACTGGCAGCACACGGGGACACAGCAGCTGGACTGGCAGCAGCAGGGCTTGTAGCAGCTGGATTGGCAGCAGGATGATCCACAGCCTGAGAAGCAGCTACAGGGCTTACAGCAGCTGGACTGGCAGCAGTAGGGCTTACAGCAGCTGGACTGGCAGCAGTAAGGCTTACAGCAGCTGGACTGGCAGCAGGATGACCCACAGCCTGAGGAGCAGCAGCAGGGCTTGCAGCAGCTGGACTGGGAGCAGCCATAAGAACCACAGCCCCCCTTGGACCCCCCACAGGAGCCACAGCCCCCCTTGGACCCCCCACAGGAGCCACAGCCCCCCTTGGACCCCCCACAGGAGCCACAGCCCCCCTTGGACCCCCCACAGGAGCCACAGGCCCCCTTGGACACCCCACAGGAGACACAGCCTCTCTTGGAGCCCCCGCAAGAGCCACAGCCCCCTTTGCCACAGCTGGAGCAGGAACAAGCTGGCACACAGCAGCACATGGGCTTGCAGCAGCAGACAGGCACACAGCAGCCGGAGCCACATCCCCCACAGCCCGCACAGCCGGAGCCACAGCCCCCACAGCCTCCACAGCCGGAGCCACAGCCCCCACAGCCAGAGCCACAGCCTCCACAGCCGGAGCCACAGCCCCCACAGCCGGAGCCACGGCCTCCACAGCCGGAGCCACAGCCTCCGGAGCAGCCACAGCAGCCCATGGTTCTGGTGGATTGAGGGTGGAGCAGGTAGAGGAGCAGGTGAGAGGGAGGTGCAGGTGTGGAGCCCCCTGAGCCCGGGCTCTTTATATCCCTGTCCAGGGTCAGGTGAGAGGCTGGGCACACTGTCACTTCCTGGTTCCTGCTTGTGCCACTGGTCCCAGTATTCTCTTCTGCTTTACATTTTTATAAATAACTCCTGTTTTCCTCGCACTTTTCTCGAATGTGCTGTCAGGTCTGTGATGGAAGCGGCCCCTCAGTAAACACTGGCCCCGCGGTGAGTTTCCCTTTCCATGTGACAAGAAGGAAGCGATGGGCAGGCAGTGGCTCGCTCAGAGGCCTTGGTCTTGCCGAGGGTGATTTTGAGCCCAGGACTCCTGGCTTGCTCCCGGGAAGATTCCTCTGCGGGAGCATCGTGTCTTGCTTGGGACGTGCCTAGGCCCTACACCTTCACGGTCCACAGCAGCTCCTGGCCCGCGGGCTGTTTCCAAGGGTCCCAGGACCTGGGGCTTCAGCCCTCAGCTCAGCAGGGTCGTTTTCGGTGTAAGACTTTGTTGGAAGGTTTGCAGTGTTGACTGAGACGGGGATTTTAAGCGCTTATTCTGGAGCTTGCTGCGTGCTCCCCATGGAAAGTGTTCTCCTGTGATAACCGCGGTCTCTTCCAGGGCTTTCAGACCACTCGGGTGGCAGGGCTGACAGATACAGTACAGGATGCCTGCTGGAACTTGAATTTCAGATCATCGAAGGCTGCCTTTTGAGGAAGGAAATCCAAGCATTGCAAGGGGCAGACACTGCCTCTGCGCTGGGTCAGGACCCAGATCGCATTGTCTCCTGCAGCGGTTCCTCCTGCCGCCGCACGGTGTCGCTGTGAAGCGGGTTCCCCCACTGCGTGGCCGGCCCAGGGGCTCCCGGACAGCGGCACAGGCTGATGGCAGAGGCCCTTTCAGGGCCAGTGAGCGGAAGAGGATGCCCTGTCTGGGTGCCCGCCTGCTCCGGGTCCCGGGCTCAGCCTGGGAAGCAGCAACTACATTCGGGTGCAGGCCCACTGGATGCTAAAGAAAGCCGGTGGAGAGCAGGGAACCGGATGGCCATTTGCCCCCGTGACCACAATACCTGTGAGTGCCCCGAGCCCAGTCAACAGGCCTCAGGCCACGGTGTAAACACCAGCTGGCACTCGGTGACTCTTGCCGTGTATGCTGGAGCCCCACTCTGTTCTGGGGCAGGGGACTGTATCTCAGGGAGGAACAGAAAACCCATTAGGAGAGAGCCGCCTTGTGTTGGCTGTCCCCACCAGAGGCGGCATCCTCCAGCTCTGGAACAGAGGCAACAGATACATTTGCTTCCTGATACATTCGCATCCAGCGCCTGATACATTCGCATCCAGCGCCTGATACGTTCGCATCCAGCGCCTGATACATTCGCATCCAGCGCCTGATACATTCGCATCCAGCGCCTGATACATTCGCATCCAGTGCCTGATACATTTGCATCCAGCGCCTGATACATTTGTCCCAGTGCTTGATACATTTGCTTCCAGTACCTCGTATATTTGCCTCCAGCCCCTGAAGTAATGTATCAACACCCGCGCTGACTCCTAGTGACACCCTTGGATCAGCTCCTTCCCTCGGGTACAAGAGGACTTTTCCTTTTGTACTTTGGGAACATCTTCCCTTTCATGGGCCTTTGTTCTTCGTGGTCCATTGATGACCTTCGGGTTCGCTGAATTGGGCAAAGAGGATCATCAGAGGGCCTCTTACAATGCTCTGATGGAACAATCAACATGGCAGTGGTCTCACCCTGTCCCGTGGGGCACCCCACGATTATGTAGCTTTTGAGCAAATGCCCCCTGAAATGTGTGTATTATATAAGGTGCATATGCTCCTGTCTAGTCATTTGCTATTTTAATTTTAGTTAATTTTAATTTTTTTCACCTTTTCAGCGTAAAGCAGACATGAGTATGTTGTAGACTTTGCTCCTGTGCTCCACATTAGGAACTACCTCTGCAGACCCATTCTTAACTACTGTGGGTTCGTAGATTCCTCTGTGGAATTTTACAGAGCCTCTCTTTAAACAAGTCTACAAACATGCACAAAAACACACAACTTTACATAAAACTGTGCAGTATCCAGACAGGATCTGATGTCCACCTGTATCTGTAGGCTCCAGATCAAGAACCCAACAGAAAAGGGGGCACCAGGTAAGAGAGAGCTGGAAGGATTTCTCCTCCTAAAACGAGCTAGGCTGACCCCACAGATTTTCACTCCTCCACCACCTGAAACCACACTCAGATGAGAGGAAGGCTCAGGGGCGGTTTTTCCTGGGATAGTAAAGTGCTGGCTGATGCCGCACAGCAGAGAAGGCTCCAGCAGAAGGACTTGCAGAAGAAGCAACAAGGAGAAGGCCAGCAGCACAGTATGTTTCTCGCGACGAAGACGGCAGACAGCATGATGGCACGGGGCTTGGAGGCTAGGACATGAAGGGTGGTACAACACTTGCCTCTCTCTCTGTCTCTCTCTGTCTCTCTGTCTCTCTCTCTCTCTCTCTCTCAGTACTACTCCTTCTGGGTGAAGCCAGATCCTGTGCCAATAGCAGCCCTGTGGAGAGGCCTGCAGGTGAGAAGCTGAGGCCTCCCACCCACAAGCCAAGGCATGTACCATCCTGGAAGTGGGTCCAATACCAGCCGAGCCTTCAGGGGATGCAGCCTCAGACCCCCAGCCAGAACCACCCAGGAACATTTGGGGCCTGACAGAGAAGAATGAAAAGGGCTGTGTGTGGGTGCTCACATCTGCAATCCCAGCATTTTGGGAGGCTGAGGTGGGAGGATCACTTGAGCCCAGGAGTTTGAGACCAGTCTGGGTAACATAGTGATATCTCATCTCTACAAAAATGTACAAAAATTAGCTGGGCCTGTGAGCGCACACCTGTAGTCCCAGCTACTCGGGAGGCTGAGGTGGGAGGATTTCTTGAGCCCAGGAGGTCGAGGCTGCAGGGAGCTATGATTGCACCACTGCACTCCAGCCTGGGTGACAGAGCTTGACTCTGTCTCAAAAAAGAAAAAAAAGAAAAAAGAAAAAGGTAAGGCCAGTAAAACACAAGAAAATTTTAACTTCATTTCGTTATTAACAAATACACACAATTTCTGAATCAAATATTAAAGACTCCAATATGATTATTTAAAAATAGCAAGTCATAAGTAGGGTTTGTTCCAAGAATGTTAAGATGGCTCACCGTCAGGAAATGTATCATTGTAACTCATTACAAAAGTGCCTTGAGGGAGAGAATTCACACGTCCACCTCAGCAGGTGTAACAATTAGCTATGGCGTGCCTGACCATGAGCTGAGGGACAGAAGTGTCTTCTTCAAATTGATAATTTCCGGAAGGAAGTATGAGGTTCTCGTGAAGGTAAATGTGCTGTATATAAAGAAGAAATGAAGGGTAGGATGCTCATGACTCGCTGGGGGTACAGGAAGGAGGCGGATCTGAAACACTGGACGGCACTCAGGTTGACACAGGAGATGCTAGTCTGAGGGGAGCACCTGCCTCTGTGAGGGGCCAGGGGAAGATAGTGGCTGATCTCAGACTGCGTTAAACATGCATGTTAAAATGTTCACAGTCACCACTGGGGAAAAGTAGAAACAAAAACATCAGTGCAAACCAGCAGAAAAAGAGGAGAAAGGAAGAAAGAAGCTTCAGCAAGTCCATAGAAGCAAGAAAAGAGAATCTAAAAGCCTACGAAAAGGAAAATATAAAAATAAGAAAAGTATGGAAACAGTAGCACCCACGAGATGGTAGAGACAGTGCTGGCCCACGGGTGTGGTGAGGGGCCAGGATCGCCGCCCACCAGGGAGACAGCAGCCCAGCCACAATGCAGGGCCATTTTCAAGAGCACCCGAGGGCAGCAACCACCACCTTCTTTTGGCACGAGGAACCGGTTTTGTAGAGGAAAATTTTTCCACGGACCCAGGGGGTGGGTGGGGGCTGGTTTCAGGATGAAACTCTTCCATCTCAGATCATTAGGGATTAGTTAGATTCTCGTAAGGAGCACGCACCCTAGATCCCTCGCGTGCGCACTTGACAGTAGGGTTCTGGCTCCTATGAGAATCGAATGTGGCGGCTGAAGGGACGGGAGGTGCAGCTCAGGAGGTCATGCTTGCACGCCTTCCACTCACCTCCTGCTGTGTGGCCTGGTTCCTAACAGGCCATGGACTGTGGCCTGAGGGTTGGGGACCCCTGCCCTAGGTCACCGGGTCCTTCCATGGCTCTAACCCCCACCCACCTGGAGGTTGTGGAAGGGGCCTGAGGAGGTGGAGAGCAGAGATGTCATCAGGTTAATTTTTCTCTCTGGGAATGCAGGTGGGCTCCGTAACTCACCATCGCCCGTGTAGTTAATTACTCAATGTTGGTCTTCATTCTACTGTCCTCAGCCCTTCCTGCCTTGCCTATCCCTGCCTCACTCCTTTAATTGGAATGAATCCCAATTGTGTAGGGTCCATATGATTTTCCCGAGTCCCAGGTGCTGTCGTCTTAGATTTCTGCCATTTTGGAGGCTGTGTTCCTGTTTTCTTCTATTTGAAGGACGTTTTGTCACCATGTTCTTGGGTCATGTTTTGGTTTTGTCCTTTTTGGAGAAATTGATCCCCTATCTTTGGGTTTATGACCTCTCCGAGGAGCATCTAGGAGCAGCTAGCTATGAGCACCCTCCTCAGCCCTGACAGCCACGGCAGACTGGCCAGGGATTTGCAGAAGCGGCAATGTTGATTCAGCCTTTGGAGTTCTGTCACCAAACCACCACGGGCTCAGTACTCAGCATTCCGCCTTCATTCTTTCCTGGAGCATGTTACGCTCTTTGGGGCTAAACTTTCAGATCTTCCTGCGGGTCATGGTGCATTTTTCTGGCCTTTGAATCTGCTTTCTGCTCCATTTGTTAAAGCCTCCACTGCTTACACCGATGCTGCAGCTTTCCTGTCCTCCCCGTTCGCCAGCCTCTCTCTGGCTGATTCCACGGCTTTGTGCTTTAGCCACACTGTGAGCATCTCGCGCCCTTCTCGGATGCCAGCGACCCAAGTCCCAGCCACCTCCGTTCTGCCCCTCACTCTTCCTAATCACCGACTCGAACTGTAATGACTTCTGGTGCTCATTTATTCCCTGAGGCCTCCGCTCTTCCTTTTAAAACTTACTCTATAGGCCAGACGCAGAGGCTCACGCCTGTAATCCCAGCACTTTGGGAGGCCAAGGTGGGCGGATCACTTGAGCTCAGGAGTTTGAGAACAGCCTGGCCAACATGGTGAAACCCTGTCTCTACTAAAAAAAACAAAAATTAGTGGGGTGTGGTGGCACGTGCCTGTAATCTCAGCTACTTCAGAGGCTGAGGCAGGAGAATCAGTTGAACCTGGGAGGCAGAGTTTGCAGTGAGCTGAGATCACATCATTGCACTCCAGCCTGGGTGAAAGAGCAAAACTCCGTCTCAAAAAATAAACAAATAAACAAAATAAAACTTACTCTATAATTTTACCATCTCAACTGAGAGCCCTATTAAAGTTAGTATGCCATATTTGTAATTTGCTGCCATATTTGTTATTATTTGTTGCATAACTCAACCATTTGCAGGAAATCTACTTTTGTCTCCCGGATGACAAGTTTGCTTAGAAAGGTTTGTCTCCTTCCTTTCCTCCTCCTTTTGTTTTTTAAGGTTTGTTTTCATAGCTGTTACAGAATCTCATGTTACCTCTCTTGGGTTTGGCCAATCCTGTCTAGATCTTCTACCTATGTTGAAACAAAATGGGATGCTCCTGGTTCCCTTTACCCAGCACCTGAGGGCGGAGCTGCCAAGCTCTGGTGAGCACCTGGGGTGCGTGATGGTCTGCTCATGTCCAGTGCGGCCTCGCGCAGGGCTGGTGGGGGACAGCTTTGTTAGGATGCCTGGGCTCTGTGCTCACAATCCAGGTCTTATGAAGTGTCCCCATCCCAGCCTCACCGCGCCTAGTCGGGAGGCGTGAACTGTTGCCACACAGGGCTGCATCCTCTGACCCAGTGTGTTCCCTAGGAAGAAGCCATTTTCAGCACAGCAGGCACTTCCCTCTCTGTGGGTTTCTCTCAGTCCCCTGCCCCACAGCTCCCATTAGCAATGGGAACGACGGAACCTATAACCCCTCTCTCGCCTCTTCCAGATAAGACAAGGCCTTTATCCCAAGCTTGAAAGACATTCTTTTTTTTTTTTTTCTTTTTTTTTTTTTTGAGATGGAGTCTTGCTCTGTCGCCCAGGCTGGAGTGCAGTGGCACGATCTCGGCTCACTGCAAGCTCCGCCTGCCGGGTTCACGCCATTCTCCTGCCTCAGCCTCCCAAGGAGCTGGGACTACAGGCGTCTGCCACCACGCCCGGCTAATTTTTTTTTGTATTTTTAGTAGAGACGGGGTTTCACCATGTTAGCCAGGATGGTCTCGATCTCCTGACCTCGTGATCCGCCCGCCTGGGCCTCCCAAAGTGCTGGGATGACAGGCGTGAGCCAGCGCGCCCGGCTGAAAGACATTCATTTTTATACCATCTAATAATGTTGGCGAGGCTAAAAATGACAATTAAGACAAAGTGAGAATGGCTTTTAAAAACGTCAGAAATTAAACTCAAGTACATGCCTGTGGAAAAACAAAGTACACTGTTTGAACACAAGGGATTTGTTCTCTCAATATCCAAATAACTTTTAAAGCAGTAATGAGAAGTCAAAAAGGTATAAATTTTTTTTTTTTTTTTTTGAGACGGAGTCTTGCTCTGTCGCCCAGGCTGGAGTGCAGTGGCATGATCTCGGCTCACTGCAAGCTCCACCTCCCAGGTTCACACCATTCTCCTGCCTCAGCCTCCTGAGTAGCTGGAACTACAGGCGCCCGCCACCACGCCCGGCTAACTTTTTGTACTTTTAGTAGAGACGGGGTTTCACCATGTTAGCCAGGATGTTCTCGATCTCCTGACCTCGTGATTCGCCCACCTTGGTCTCCCAAAGTGCTGGGATTATAGGTGTGAGCCACTGTGCCTGGCCAATAAAAAAGTATATAATTTATATTGGAGTAAAAGAATCACCCTCACTAATAGTTAATTGAAGAGATTAACAACAGGATGATAAATGAGATCCCCCATCCACCCATGAAATTCCTGAGATTTTTAACATAAACAATACTCACCACGTGAGGCTGTGTATGCAGCAGCCAGGAGTCCTGAGCACCCCACGACCTGAGGCTGGCGGAGGAGAGATTCACTGCAGTGCACCAATGTGTTAAGACAGAACCAAGATACAACGTTGGTTCCTCAATTAGCCTCTTTAATTATATGGATGAAAGCTTAGTTTTTAAAAAATTATCTTCACACAAAGTTCACAGTTTCAAAGAAAAATATAATGCCATAGGTGGGAAGAAAAGATGGGAAGAAAACAACCAAAATGATCTTTGTAGAAAACCCATCCTCTGCCCATCACATGAGGAAAACAGAAGGCAGGTGATCAGTTCAGTACAAGGTCCAGTTCCAAGGAGGAAGTGACTACATTTAGAAACATAAGCAGGTGGGTGTTGGATCAGGCCAATGAGAACCCGAAGTCCAGCAAACAAATAATCACATACCCAGGAAGTGCTGGGAATGATGGAGTGACCAAGGTCTCAGAGCAACCCTACCCAGGGATATAAGGGGGTCCAGGCTCAGGGGGCTCCACACCTGCACCTCCATCTCATCTGCTCCTCTACCTGCTCCACCCTCAATCCACCAGAACCATGGGCTGCTGTGGCTGCTCTGGAGGCTGTGGCTCCGGCTGTGGGGGCTGTGGCTCCGGCTGTGGGGGCTGTGGCTCTGGCTGTGGGGGCTGTGGCTCCGGCTGTGGGGGCTGTGGCTCCGGCTGTGGGGGCTGTGGCTCCAGCTGCTGTGTGCCCATCTGCTGCTGCAAACCTGTGTGCTGCTGTGTGCCAGCCTGTTCCTGCTCCAGCTGTGGCTCCTGTGGGGGCTCCAAGGGGGGCTATGGCTCTTGTGGGGGTTCCAAGGGGGGCTGTGTCTCCTGTGGGGGTTCCAAGGGGGGCTGTGGCTCCTGTGGGGGCTCCAAGGGGGGCTGTGGCTCCTGTGGGGGTTCCAAGGGGGGCTGTGGCTCCTGTGGGGGCTCCAAAGGAGGCTGTGGCTCTTGTGGCTGCTCCCAGTGCAGCTGCTGTAAGCCCTGCTGCTTCTCTTCAGGCTGTGGGTCATCCTGCTGCCAGTCCAGCTGCTGTAAGCCCTGCTGCTCCTCCTCAGGTTGTGGGTCATCCTGCTGCCAGTCCAGCTGCTGCAAGCCCTACTGCTGCCAGTCCAGCTGCTGTAAGCCCTGCTGCTCCTCCTCAGGTTGTGGGTCATCCTGCTGCCAGTCCAGTTGCTGCAATCCCTGCTGCTCCCAGTCTAGTTGCTGTGTCCCTGTGTGCTGCCAGTGTAAGATCTGAGGCTCTGGACTCAGGCCTCATGTGAGTCCTGCTAATCCTGTCTTCCAAAGCTGTGACCTGTCCTTCATTGTTGAGCCCCAAATCATTGCTCAGGGTCCATTCCCTGCTGTAGAACGATGCCATATCTGGCTGCCTTTTCCTAAGAAGAGTCCACCCTAATTAATGTCCATTGTCTCTCCTAACAAATTCTCTCCCCAAGTCAACTGCAATTGCAGCTGAATCACCCCTCACCCACTAGCCTCGCCTTTGCTCATCTTTTCAGAGGCCTGAGCTCCTGAACCCACTTGCAGTCCTGTCTTTTCCAGCTGGAGCAGCTGGGCATAAGCGTCCCACCTGCAACAAGGTGGGCGTTTAAGAGGCTTCCTTGGAGTGGCTTTGCATGTCCAACACTCTGCTGTATCTTTTTTTTTTTTTTTTTTTTTTTGAGATGGAGTCTCGCACTGTCACCCAGGCTGGAGTGCAGTGGCACCATCTCGGCTCACTGCAAGCTCCGCCTCCCGGGTTCACTCCATTCTCCTGCCTCAGCCTCCCCAGTAGCTGGGACTACAGGTGCCCGCCACCACGCCCGGCTAATTTTTTTTTTATTATTATTAGTAGAGACAGGGTTTCACCATGTTAACCAGGATCACACTGCTTTATCTTAAACAGAAAGTTGCAAACTAATAAAAATACCATGCCGACAAACTGAAACACATATCTTGCTGATTTCTCTGTTGTTCGGTGTCATTACTATGGCTATGGCTATTGTTTTCTTATTCTTGTTATATTTCGGACTCCGTGAGTCTGATGGTGATGTTGCTGGAAGGTGCTAGGATGGGGCTGGCTGTCTCCGCTGCCTCTCGTCCGTCTCAAAAAAAGAAAAAAAAAAAGGTAAGAGTCAAACCTGGAGAAACTCTGTATAGACAGACTTGAAACAATCTGAACACCAATTTCTTAACTGGACTGATACACATCAAATATGTTTAAACTAGGAGTGAGTAATCATACGCACACACATACATACACAAATAATAATAGAGATACTATGCAAACTGTAAAATTTAGTTGCCTTTAGAGGATTCTAGGAATCAAGTCATTATTTCGAAGATGACTATATAAAGGAAAATAATCAGGCACTTATTCTATCTCTGATAGAGAAACTCTATCTTACGGTAACCAAAAAATTAGAGGAAGTATTCCAGTTTATAAATAAAGAAGAAATCGTAGAATTAGAAGCTAACCATTTTGTAACCCCTAATGAAATAATGGGGCTATCAAATTTACTGCATGCAGCCAAATCAGTGCTTAGAGAAAAATTTATAGCCTTAAATGCATATGTTGGAGTAAAAAAAAAAAAAAAGCTTAAGCTCATTTAGGCAAAAACCTATCTATAGGACTGGCAGCATTGCCACACAGAGCCCAGAATGGGGTGGTAATTAGGGCTATTTGTAGGCATCCTGGTTCTCCTCTCCTTCTGGGAACAGGTTGGATGGCAGGTGGTAGGGTGGCCCTTCCATGAGCCCTCTCTAAGTCAGGTGTGGCCATGTGATTTGCTTGCGTCAGTGGGAAGAAGTTTGAAGCACCTGCTGCAGTCTTCTGCATTCTCCGTTTCTTCTCCTACCATGACCACCAACATTCCAAGCAGTGGCTGCTGCTTCCGACTGAGTCCCAGAGTGACGAAGCACAGAGCAGAGTCACCAGCTGACGTGCAGTGGCCTGGGATATGAACAGGAAGTAAGCCTGTGTCGTGTGAAGTCACTGAAACGTGGGGGTGGCGCGTGTGAGCAGCGTAATTGGTCTATCCTGGTTGACCCAGAAACCTACCAGAACAAAAACATAGCATTGTGGGCCTGGTTTATTGGTCAGAGGGTGGGTGGAAAGGAAAGTTATTAGAGGTGAGAAAGGTAGTTATTATGTGTTTGGTAAGACTGTCCCAGATCGTGTATCCCTGAGGGAAGAGTTCAGAAAACACAATGCCACTCCCACGTGGGTCGTTGTGGCTGCATTTATCAAAGCATTACAAGAACAGGGTGAGCTCGAAAGAACCGGCTGATTTGCCAGCCAGGAGGAAAGTTCTAGAAAGCCTGGAGAAACCTGGGGAGCTACAGAGTTCTCAGTTCTGCCTGGTAAATGGTAAGACTTAGAAGGCTTTTGAGCAGCAAAGAACAATTGAAGCTCAAATGAAAGGAATTTTTTTTTTTTCTTTTTTTTATTTGAGACGGAGTCTCACTCTGTTGCCCAGGCTGGAGTGTAGTGGCACGATCTCGGCTCACTGCAAGCTCTGCCTCCCAGGTTCACACCATTCTCCTACCTCAGCCTCCCAAGTAGCTGGGACTACAGGCGCCCACCACCACGACTGGCTAATTTTTTTTTTCTGTATTTTTAGTAGAGATGAGGTTTCACCGTGTTAGCCAGGATGGTCTCGATCTTCTGACCTCATGATCCGCCTGCCTCAGCCTCCCAAAGTCCTGGGATTACAGGCATGAGCCACCGTGCTCGGCTAAAAGGAACCCTTTTTAAGGGTACACTTTGATGAGGTTCCATGAGAACAGACCACACTGAGGTAGGGAGTTGGTAGCTGCCTCCAGCCTGGCCAGTGGGGCAGGAGGGGCTGCTGTGGGGTCAGTGGGTCCGGAAGAAGACGCCGGAAACTTCTCCCCCCATGGCTCACTTGGCGTTCTCTTTGCTTGGCCTGTGGCTCCTGTGGGTAAATTCATGTCCTGCTGTGTGATGAAGAGGTTTCTGCAGGGAAGAGGGGGAGGTGTTTGGCCCAGGCAGGACCCAGTGACCTGCAGATCAAAGATGGCCTCACTACCACGGTAATGGGCACCAGAGAAGAGCCTGCCGCCAGCCATTCGTTGGAAACAGGCCCAACAGAACCAATGCTGTCTGTGCTTGTGGTGTGGGGGTAGAAGAGAAAGAGAAAGAAACCCAAAACCTTCCTTAATAATGAACAGATGTCACATGATTGTTAGCAAGATTTAAGACATAGTTGTAACTCTCCATGAAATCAACAAAGAGAAAATCACGTGTTGGACATTTTATGCATAATTTTTTGATAAAATCATAGGATTGCCTGCTGCAACATCCTTCATTTCACAGTTGGCCGTGACAGAATGACGCTGAAGGGAGTCGCGTAGCAAAAACAACTGAGCTCCTTCTCATCCTTCACGGACGCCTCTCTTTGAGGTCAACTCACCCCATTGGGAAGCCTCTATCTTGCCTCCTTGACCAGCTTCTCTTTCAGGGTGAACCGCCTGATCTTCACCGTGGTGGCCTTGCCTGGCTCCCAGCAGATGTTCTCCAATGTCACTTTCAGTGACATCACAGAATCCTACGTTTCTTTTCTTGCAAGCATTGCAATTTTACTTAAAATCTGCATCGTAAATATGACTGTGGAAAATGTATTTAAGAGAGCTGGTTCTGCAAAGACATGAAAGACATTTGGGAGGGGGTGTGTGGGAATAAGTGATATTGTTAAGTAAACGAGCTGCTTGAGTGGAGAACACTTTTGGAAGTGGTCAGCTTGGCCCCATCTGTGCTAAAAATACAAAAAAAGAAAAAATTAGCCAGATGTGGTGGTGGGCGCCTGTAGTCCCAGCTACTCGGGAGGCTGAGGCAGGAGAATGGTGTTAACCCAGGAGGCGGAGCTTGCAGTGAGCCGAGATGGTGCCACTGCACTCCAGCCTGGGTGACAGAGCAAGACTCTGTCTCAAAAAAAAAAGAAGTAGTCAGCTTGGGCTTGGCTCACTCCTGTAATCCCAGTACTTTGGGAGGTTAAGGAAGAAGGAACACTTTAGCTCAGGAGTTCAAGACCAACCTGGGTGACATAGCAAGACCCCGTCTCTGCAGAAAAATGAAAGAATTAGCTGGGCATGGTGGTGCACACCTGCAGTCCCAGCTAATGGGGAGGCTAAGGTGGAAGAATCTCTTGAGCCTGGGAGGTTGAGGCTACAGTGAGTTATGATTGCACTGCTACACTCCAGCCTGGGTGACAGAGTGAGACCCTGTCTCAAATAAATAAAAAATAAATAAATAAATGACATTGTCAGCTTGTTTACTTGTTTGTGATTATTTTCTTTTTTACCTTCCTCTTCTTGTTTTTAATAGAGATAGAGTCTCACTGTGTTGCCCAGGCTGGTCTCGAACTCCTGGGCTCAAGGGATCCTCCTGCCTCAGTCTCTCGAGTAGCTGGTACTACAGGCATGCACCACTGCCACTAGTGAATATTTTGAAGGCCTGATGATTTACAATGAGCACAGGGAGACCCTGTATGGAGCCTAGAGATGTTGGCTGGTTGTGGAGTGGTCACCGAGGGAGCATCTTAGCATGAATCTCTGGTCAGAGTGATCGGGGAACCAGACTCAGTCTGGAAACAAGCAGGGGACACCTTCAGCTTACAGACAGCAGATTGTGGAGTTGCTCAACTTCCATAATTGCAGGGTCCAATTCTTCAGAATCATCTATGTATCTATCTATGTATCTATTTATCTATGTATCTATCGATCATCTAGGTATCTCTGTATCCATCTATGTAAGTATGTAAGTACCTATCTATGTATCTATGTATCCATCTATGTATGCATGTACGTATGTATCTATGTATCTATTTACGTATCTATCGATCATCTACGTATCTCTATATCCATCTATGTATGTATGTAAGTACCTATCTATGTATCCATCTATGTATGTATGTATCTATCTATGTATCTATGTATCCATCTATGTATGTATGTGTGTATGTATGTATGTCTGTATCTAGCTAGCTAGCTACGTATCTATGTATCCATGTATGTATCCATGTGTGTATCTATGTATCTATGTACCTATCTATCTATCTATCTATCTATCTATGTAGGGACAGAGCCAGCCCAGTGCAGAGCCCTGGCTTCCTTTCTGTGCCACCAGCCACTCCACCTCAGTCTCCATTGCTTAATTCTCCTCCTCCAGGCCCTGAGCACTGGGCGGTGCCAGGTTCAGCCGGGGGGTCTCTATCTCACCTGCGACCTCCTCCATGTCTCTCACAACACCTTCCCCTCTAGGTTCCACACTCACAGGCCCAGGTGCCTGCTTCTCATGGACATCTGGCCTTTCAAACTAAGCACATCCCAGACTGAACTCCTCCTCCTTCCCCTGGAACCAACGCCTTCCCAGCCTTCCCCATTGTAGTTCACAGCAGCTCCATCCTTCCCAGGGCTCAGGATAGAAGCCTGGGCATCCTCTTGACTCCTCTTCCACCCTCCACATCCAATCCAACAGCAAATCTCCAAGGTTCTACCTTGGAAAAGTATTTGGAATCTGATTCGCCAATTGCCTAATTGGTGATTTATCCAATGACCGCCTTCACTGCCACCACCCGATATTGACAGCACCTCGTGCATTCCAGCTACTCTCCCACACACTTTATAAACATGACTCCCTGAGTATCTGTGAGGTATGCACTCTTTTTTCAATTTAACTTTTTATATTCGGGTGATTGTAGATTCACCTGCAGTTACTCATAAGAAGTTACTCGTAAGAAGTTACTCGTAAGAAGACACAAAGGGGATCTCATGTACCCTTTCCCATGTCCCCGGTGACAGCATCTGGAATGCAGGTAACATAACAACACAGTGATATTGACCTTGGCACGGTCACAATACAGATCATTTCTCTAGCAAGGACCCCACGCGTTGCCCTGATGCAGCCCCCACATTTCCCTCCTGTTCTCCATTTCTGTAATTTTGTCATTTCGAGAATGCTCCATGAATGGAAACACACAGTGTGTAACCTTTTAAGACTGGCTTTTCCTACCCAGCATGATTCTCTGGAGATTCATCTGGGTCATCGAGCGTCTGTCATTCCTGCCATTTCATGGCTGAGACGTGTCCCCTGGCAGAGGTGAACCAGTGTGTTTCCCCTTCACCCATCAAGGGACATGTGGGTGTCTCCAGCATTTGGTGATCATGAATAAGCCTCCTATTAACATTTGTGGACAGGTTTTCCGTGTGCACATGTCTCTGGGATAAATGCCCAGGAGTGAGATTGCTGTGTTGAATGGCGGTTGTGTGGTTAGTTTTTTTCATAAGCTGCCAACCTATCTTCCAGAGTGGCTGTACCATTTTGCATTCCCACCATCAACATACGAGTGGCCCAGCTTCTCTGCCTTTTGCCAGCATTTGGTGTCGCTGCTATTTTTTTGTTAAGCCATTCTCATAGGGGCATCATGATATCGCATTACTGGTTAGTTTGTCTTTCCTAAAGTCTGAGGATGTCAAACTTCCTCTCACATCCTTATTTGCCACTGTACGTCCTCTTCAGAGAATTGTCTCTTCAAGTCTTTTGCCCATTTTTGGATCGGATTGTTTTTGTGTTTATGTATGATTTGCTGTTGTGTTTTGAGAGTTCTTTACATGGTCTAGATTTGTATATTCCAGTCCTTTGTCAGATATGTGGTTTGTAAATATTTTGGTTAGGGTGCAAAGTTATTTTATTTATTATTTATTTACTATTATTTTTAGACAGGTTCTCACTTTGTTGCCCAGGCTGGAGTGCAGTGGTGCAATAATGGCTCACCGTCCCCTTGATCTTCCAGGCTCAAGTGATCCTCCCAACTCAGCCTCCCAAGTAGCTGGGACCACAGGTGCACATCAGTATGCCTTTTTTTTTTTTTTTTTTGTAGAGATGGGGTCTCCCTAAGTTGCCTAGACTGGTCTCAAAATCCTGGACTCAAGTGATCCTCCCGCCTTGGCCTCTTACAGTGTTGAGATTACAGGCATGAGCCACCATGCCTGTAAGCCAAAATTCTTTTTAATATACTGCTGAATTCTATTATGAATAGTATATTTTTCTTTTCCTCTGTCACAGCAACTGGCTGCCTGGGTTATGGAATAAGAGGCAGAGCCCCAGGTGTCTTGTGGTGGTGGGAGGTGTGGGTTGACTCAGCTACTGAGATCTTGGTGTGGTTTGTTGCTGCAGCACAACCCAGGCCATCCTGACTGACACTGGGTGACCGAGGGGCTGGAAAAGAAAACATGCCGAGAAAGGCAGTTTCCACACGAATACACAAAAATCTATACTGCATTAATCAGGGTTCTCCAGAGACACAGAACCAGTGGGAGATTAGGTACATAGGTAGATTAGATAGATAGATAGATGCATACATACATAGATAATAGATACATAAATGGATAGATAGATACAAAGATAGATAATAGACATATAGATACATAGATGGATATATATAGAGATACATAGATGATAGATAGATACATAGACACATAGATACATACATAGGTAGATACATACATAAATAAATAGATGATAGGTAGATAGATAGCTACATAGACAGATACATAGTTAGATAGCTACATAGATAGATACATACTTACATAGATACACAGATAGATACATGGATACATAGATACAAAGATAGATACATAGATGGATAGATACATATATAGATACATAGATGATAGATACATGCATAGATAAATAGATACATAGCTACATAGTTACATAGATAGATAGATAGATAGATACATACATACATACATACACACAGAGAGAGATACACAGATACACAGATGATTATGAAGAATTGGCCCATGCGATTCTGGAGGCTGAGCAGCTCCATGATCTGCTGTCTGTAAGCTGAAGACCTAGGAAAGCCGGCGGGGTCATTCTGTTCAAGTCCAAAGGCCCGAGAACCAGGGAGCTGACGGTGTGAGTGTAAGTCCGAGGGCAGGAGACCGATGTGCCAGCTGGAGCGGTCAGGCAGAAAGGGACTTCCTCCACGTTTTGATCTATTCGGGCCCTCAGTGGATCAGAGGAAGCCACCCACATTGGGGAGGGCGTCTGCTTTCCTGAGTCCACTGATCCCAATGCTGGTCTCATCCAGAAACTGCCCTCACCGACCACCAAGAAATAACATTCAGCCAAATATCCGGGCACCCTGGGATCCAGCCAAATTGACACATAAAATTAACCATCACATATACCTGATTCAAGATTTTAAAACAGATGACAAAAGTTTTCAACTTTTACAGAAAAATATATCATGATCTCAGAGAAGTATTTCCTAAATAAGGCCCCAAATACTCTAATTCTAAAGGAAGAGGTGGGTGAATTGATAAGTTAAAATTAAACACTCAAGGATTCTCATTTAACAAGGGAAGGCCTCGCGAGAATGAAAAGATGAACCAAGGAGGATCTTGCAACATAAAAGCTGACCACACGATAGTTTGCTGAGTAAATGACGAGTAATGGGAGCAGCACACCAACATGGCACATGGATACATATGTAACAAACCTGCCCGTTGTGCACATGTACCCTAAAACTTAAAGTATAATAATAATAAAATAAAATAAAATAAAATAAAATAAAATAAAGCTGACCGTGGCTCAGCATTTGAAAACCCAAAGAGCTCACACCAATTAGCAAGCAAAGAAAACAACTAAACAGAGGAACCAACTCATAGACATCAGCAGGCATTTTATAAAAGAGGAAAGACAGGTCGGGCGCAGTGGCTCACACTTGTAATCCCAGCACTTTGGGAGGCCGAGGCGGGCAGATCACGAGGTCAGGAGATCGAGACCACGGTGAAACCCCGTCTCTACTAAAAATACAAAAAAAAAAAAAAAAAAATTAGCAGGGCGTGGTGGCGGGCGCCTATAGTCCCAGCTACTCAGAGAGGCTGAGGCAGGAGAATGGCGTGAACCCGGGAGGCGGAGCTTGCAGTGAGCCGAGATCGGGCCACTGCATCCAGCCTGGGTGACAGAGCGAGACTCCGTCTCAAAAAAAAAAAAAAAAGAAAGAAAGAAAAGAAAAGAGGAAAGACAAAGACTTGGTGGGTGCAGTTACCTTTGTTCCCACGGGCTCCATAGTCTGGTGATGGGGGTGGGGGCTGGAGTGAGCAGGCATTTCCCAGTCTTAGAACTCCAGCTTCAGCCTTCAGCCTTCTCCAATTGCCCACATGGCACAGGGGCTCTCTCCAGGGTCTTTCCCGTGCCTCAGCTGTCTATTGCAACAGCAACGGGTTTTTTGGTATTTGAGATGATCAAGTTGGTTCTAAAATTTAGCTGGAGAAGTAAAGGAATTGGAAACAAACAAAACAATCTTTAAAAAGAAGAATGAAGTTGGAGTCTCACAATACTTAACTTCAAAACCTCCCATAATGTCACAGTGACGCTGTGTTTGCATTAGGAAGCGGCATACAGACCTGCGGAGCGGGACACAGGAAGAAACTCGCCATCGTGTCGGCTGATTCTCATTAAAAACACCAGTGATTTCAGTGGGATAAGCACGGTTTGTTTGTTTGTTTGTTTGTTTATATCGAGACAGAGTCTCACTCTGTCACCCAGGCTGGAGCGCAGTGCTGCAGTCTCGGCTCACCGCAGCCTCTACCTCCCGGGTTAAAGCGATTCTCCTGCCTCAGTCCCCTGAGTAGCTGGGATTACAGGCGCCCCCCACCATGTCTGGCTAATTTTTGTATTTTTGGTAGAGACAGGGTTTTGCCATGTTGGCCAGGCTGGTCTTGCACTCCTGACCTCAGGTGATCTGCCCTCCTTGGCCTCCCAAAGTGCTGGGATTCCAGGCGTGAGCCACTGCGCCTGGCCAGGAAGGTCTTTTTATCAAATGCTGCTGAAACAATTGGATGAAAATGTGAAAAAATGGATCTCAACTCCTACCTCACATTACACGCAAAAATTAGCTTGAGATCCATCATAGAACTAAATATAGAAACTAAAACTCTAATGCTTCTAAAGGAAATGCTAGGAAAAAGGGTTTTCAAAGAGGTCACAAGAAAGCACTAGCTGTCAAAACAAATGTTAACGTGGACTTCAAAATCAAAAACATTTCCATATAAAAAGTTCAGATAACAATAAGGCAAGTCAAATACTAGAAAATTATATACAATATATATATTCTACATATATATATTATATACACACATATACACATGTATATGAAATATATATGTAAATATATATACGTACATATGGCAAAGCACTTCACATATTCATTCTTGATATAGAATTTATGAAGAGTTCCAACAACTCAATAACAAAAAGACAAAAAAAAATCACAATAAAATGGGCAAACAATTTTAGCAAAACTTTTTAACAAGAAAGATGTGCAAATGTCCAATAAGTGCAAGAAAGAATCCTTGCGAACATTAGTCATCAGAGAAACACAGGTCAAAATGCACACGAGATGCGATTTTACACCCATCCGATGCCTCACATTTGAAAAGCCGCTGGCTGGTACTGACAGGCCTGGGGCAGCGGACACTCTCAGGCATTGCTGGGGAGGGGGAAAGCAGCATGAGCATTTGGAAAGCTGTCTGTTTCTTAGCAAGTTAAGCATACACTACTCTATGGTCTAGCAAGGCCAGTCCTCAATATTTGACCAAAAAATTAAAACTAAAAACATGAATACGGAAGGACTGGAAGGCATGATTATGTGTTATTCATCATCGCCCCAAACTGTGAACGATTCAAATATGTATGAACGTGAGAACGGGGGAACGCAGTGGAGAATATTTTTACATGGAATAAGGGGGGCCCCACCCCTCATATTTTCTTATGCCCAATTTCTGTCTCCAAAGAAAAAAGAAGTAAAAACTAAATCCACAGGCAGACAGCCCGGTGCCACACCCTGGGCCTGGTAGTTAAAGATTGACCCCTGACCTAATCGGTTATATTATCTATAGATTCCAGACATTGTATGGAAAAGCATTGTGAAAATCCCTGTCCTGTCCTGTTCCGTTCTGATTGCCGGTGCATGCAGCCCCCAGTCACGTACCCCCTGCTTGCTCAATCGATCACGACCCTCTCACACAGACCCCCTTAGAGTTGTAAGCCCTTAAAAGGGACAGGAATTGCTCACTTGGGGAGCTTGGTTTTTGGAGACCTGAGTCTGCCAATGCTCCCAGCTGAATAAAGCCCTTTCCTTCTACAATTCAGTGTCTGAGGGGTTCTTGTCTGCGGCTCGCCCTGCTACAGAAACACTATGCGGTGATTACAAAAGAAGAAGAAGGCCAGGCGTGGTGGCTCATGCCTGTAATCCCAGCACATTGGGAGGCTGGGGCAGGTGGATCGCTTGAGCCCAGGAGGTCGAGGCTGCAGTGAGCCATGAGCGCACCACTCTGCACTCCAGCCTGGGTGACAGAGCAAGACCCTGTCTCAAAAAAAAAAAAAAAAAAAAAAAAAGAAGAAGAGCAAATCATTGACACACAGAATAACATCGTGAGGGAAAGAAACCAGAGTACATTTTTAATGATTTCATTTTTGCAACATTCAACAACAGGCACAACTGGTCAGCAGAGCTGTGCCTGGAGCGATGGGCAGGAAGGGAAGGCGGCGAAAGGGAAACTTCTGGGGGTGAAGCAGTTGGTCATGGTTGGAGTGATGGGCACACGAGTACATGTTTAGCGGAACTCATGGAATTGTACACTCAAAATATGTGCAGAGCCCAGGAGACCAAGGCTGCAGTGAGCTAGGATCACACCACTGCCCTCCAGCCCGGGCGACAGAATGCGACCCCGTCTCAAAAAAAAAAAAAAAAAAATGCAGCCCAAGCCTGGTGGCTCATGCCTGTAATCCCAACACTTTGGGAGGCCAAGGCAGGTGGATCACCTGAGGTCAGGGGTTCGAGACCAGCCTGGCGAACATAGTGAAACCCCGTCTCTACTAAAAATACAAAATTAGCTGGGTGTGGTGGTGGGTGCCTGTAATCCCAGCTACTTGGGAGGCTGAGGCAGGAGAATTGCTTGAACTCGGGAGGCAGAGGTTGTAGTGAGCTGAAATTGCATCACTGCACTCCAGCCTGGGTGACAGAGGGAGACTCAGAAAAAAAATTTTTTTTCACTGCATGTAAATTTTACCTTAATAAAAAATTAAAATTTGGCTGGGTGCAGTGGCTCACACCTGTAATCCCAGCACTTTGGGAGACTGAGGCGGGTGGTTCACCTGAGGTCAGGAGTTCGAAACCAGCCTGCCCAACATGGTGAAACTCTGTCTTCACTAAAAATACAAAAAAATTAGCCAGGCCTGGTGGTGGGCGCCTGTAATTCCAGCTACTGGGGAGGCTGAGGCAGGAAAATTGCTTGAACCCAGGAGGCAGAGATTGCAGTGAGCCGAGATTGCGTCACTGCACTTTAGCCCTGGTGACAAGAGCGATACTCCTTCTCAAAAAAAAAATATTAAAATTAATCTTTTAGAAAATAAAAGTGTGTTAGAGAGGTTGGCTAATCAAAATTTTTGTAGCCTTCAAGAAGAATAAACTTGAAGAATATCCATTGATTTGTAGAATTTTTACAAAGAATTAATAGAGGAAAACTCAAAAGCATTAGAAAGGGTCCTGTTCCTCTGTTCCCTCTGTGAGCCCAGCTTGCCTGAAGGGAACGTGGGTCTAATCCGTGTCTGGAGGAGTGAGCCAAACCGCAGGAGGAAGAGGTAAGAAAGACAAAGGAGAACCAGGGCCACACTCAAATCCATGCTCTTCAAAACTTTGTTTTACAGATTTGACAAAATATTTATACTTGAAGTTTTTAAGCGGTGGAACCTATAGACAGCCTTTCTTTCAGCTTATTTTTTTAATTTTTATTTTATTTTATTTTTTACCAAATGACCATCCTTGATATAAACACCAATGCCAGGGGGTGGAGGGTCTGCATCGCTGAGGAGAGCCCTGAGCACCAAGGACAATGGTCCACCCTTCGGCCAAGCAACCACCGCCTCCCAGGCTCCTGGGACACCCACTGGAGAGGGAGCCCAGTGTCTTCTAACAAAGGGAAACACCTATGAGGAAGAGGCCAAATTTAGAAACCAAGGAAAGGACAGCTTGGCTTGAGCTGATGGTGGCTCATGGGATTGTGGAGAGATTAAAAATAACACTTGTGCATGTGAAATAGCAGAAACAACAACAGAAGTATTCACGTGTTCAGTATAAACACCTGGGCAGGAATATAAAGAGCCCGGGCTCAGAGAACTCCACACCTGCACACCTCCCTCTCACCTGCTCCTCTACCTGCTCCACCCTCAACCCACCAGAACCATGGGCTGCTCTGGCTGCTCTGGAGGCTGTGGCTCCAGCTGTGGGGGCTGTGGCTCCAGCTGTGGGGGCTGTGGCTCCGGCTATGGGGGCTGTGGCTCCGGCTGCTGTGTACCTGTCTGCTGCTGCAAGCCCGTGTGCTGCTGTGTGCCAGCCTGTTCCTGCTCCAGCTGTGGCTCCTGTGGGGGCTCCAAGGGGGTCTGTGGCTCTTGTGGGGGCTGCAAGGGGGGCTGTGGCTCCTGTGGAGGCTCCAAGGGGGGCTGTGGCTCCAGCTGCTGTGTGCCCGTCTGCTGCTCCTCCAGCTGTGGCTCCTGTGGGGGTTCCAAGGGGGTCTGTGGATTTCGTGGGGGCTCCAAGGGGGGCTGCGGTTCTTGTGGCTGCTCCCAGTGCAGCTGCTATAAGCCCTGCTGCTGCTCCTCAGGCTGTGGGTCATCCTGCTGCCAGTCCAGCTGCTGCAAGCCCAGCTGCTCCCAGTCCAGCTGCTGTAAGCCCTGCTGTTCCCAGTCCAGCTGCTGTAAGCCCTGCTGCTGCTCCTCAGGCTGTGGGTCATCCTGCTGCCAGTCCAGCTGCTGCAAACCCTGCTGTTCCCAGTCCAGCTGCTGTAAGCCCTGCTGCTGCTCCTCAGGCTGTGGGTCATCCTGCTGCCAGTCCAGCTGCTGCAAGCCCTGCTCCTCCCAGTCCAGCTGCTGTGTCCCAATTTGCTGCCAGTGCAAGATCTGAGGCTCTGCCCACAAACCTCAGTGGGTCCTACAGATCCGGGCTCTCCAGGAATGATTGCAGCTGTGTCCTGAATTCCTGAAGCACGTCTCTGAATCTGTCCTCCTCTGGACTAAGGCAGCCTAGCGTCCAGGGCTCAGTACTCAGCCGCTCAGCCTCTGAGGTCATGAGGGCTTCTGGCATGCTGGGTCCTGCCCATCAACCCTCCCGGAATCCCGTCTTCCTTTCCTGACCCCACCACTTCAACCTTCTCAGGGCTTCAAGATCCCACATCCCTGGGCCCCTCCTGTGAGCCTGCTGGAAACACGCTGACACTGGAATCCTCCGACCTGCTGCCGCCTCTCCCCGGTCCCCGCAACCTCCTGGCTCCTCCCCGCTTCGTCTTCATCCTGCCTGAGCTGCCACCGCTCCGATTGCTTTTGGAGTTGACCTAGAGGACTCGGAATTATTGGAGACCCCAGGATCCTCTCCTGAGGAGGAGGGGCGCCCAGTCTCCTCTTCTACCTCCGACCTGGCCCTGTTTCTTTCCCCAGGGCTTCGCCTTGTAAGTGCCTAGGCTAGATCTTCTAAATAAATACGATCTGCACCTCCCACGAGTTTGCATTGTGATTCTTTTGTTTCAACTTCTGTGTGATTAGAGAAATGTACACTTTCCACAGAGTTGCACTCCCAGGCATTTGGGAACCCCCCGTACCCTGCTGTGTGAGTTTGCTAGGGCTGCTCCACAAACCGTGTGGCTTAAGCAACAGGAGTGGATTGTCTCACAGTCTGGAGTCCGGAATCCGCCATCGAGGTGCCTCAGGGCCGGGTCCTCCTGAGGCCTCCCTCCGTGGCTTACTGATGCCGCCATCCCTATATCCTCACGTACTCATCCCTCTGTGTGTGTCTGCGTCCTCATCTCTTTGCATAAGGACACAGATTAGACTAGGGCCCACCCTACTCCATTAGGTCCATGTTTGAACTAATCACCCCTGTAAAGACCTATCTTCAAATAAGGTGCCATTCTGAGATACTGCGTTGAGGACTCCAACATATGAACCAGGGGGCACAACTCAGCCGTGGCATCCACTTGGCTTGGGGCGTCTCCGTCTTTCCCATCTTCCAGGATACAGAATTGGGAGGCCCCTTGGGCTTCTCTCCCCCACAAGTCGCCAAATCCCTCAGCATCTCCTGGAAGGCTTCCTACAGACATCTATTTCCTGCCTCCTTGTGACACCTCCCTACACAGACTTCTGATTCAGGTGCCCACCTGTCCCTTCCCTGCTGCCTCTGTCAGCTGGGGCTGCCAGAACAAAACCCACAGAGTAAGCCTGGAAGACGGAACAACAGACACCATTTCTCCCAGTTCCGGAGGCTGGAGGGCCTAGACCAAAGTCCAGCATGTTCGACTCATGGGGAGGGAAGGCAGGAGCTGGCGGAGGAGGAGGTGGGCTGCAAGGCTGGAGCCCCCAGACCCAGGCGTCTGTAACAGCAGAGCGCTGGAGGCTGCTCGGGAAGCCACCGTCTCACAGGATGGTAGGCAGTGAGTGCCTGGCGGAACTGCGACAAGAAAGTGAAAACTCAACAACACGGAAGTTTCAGAAATTGCTTCTGAGTTTCTGTTTCGGTAGTAAGGTTGACTAGACACTATTCACAACCCTGAAACTTCTAAAAGGACATGGTGAAACCCCGTCTCCACTAAAAATACAAAAATTAGCCAGGCATGGTGGTGGGCGCCTGTATCCCAGCTACTTGGGAGGCTGACGAAAGAGAATTGCTTGAACCCAGGAGGCGGAGGTTGCAGCGAGCCTAGATCGCACCACTGCATTCCAGCCTGGGCGACAGAGCTAGACTCTTTCTCTAAATAAATAAATAAATAAATACATAAGTAAGTAAATAAATAAAGCTTTAAAGTGCTATGTTTAAAGCATATATATTTTTTTTAAGTCACTGAGCTGTTGAAAAACTAAATAATCCTCAGAGCCAACAAGCAAGAGAGAGCTGGACCCACAGAGGAAGGTGAAAGTCAAAAACGGCCTCCACCCCATGGCTGGACCAGAAAGAGGCCCTGTCTGTTTTCTTCCACCTGTGTTATTGGAAAAAAATATTTGACAAGGAAACATACACCAAACCCAGCTCTTTTGTTTAAAAGCCAATTGCAAAAACACAGAACGAGTGACCTGGTTTAATGGTGGCTAAGAACGATAGAAAAAGGGCCTGGTCTATCTGAGTTAAATTTGAGCTCAGGATGAGGCTAGGGTGTGGTGTTGCTGCCGAAATCCACTCTGTGGTCTGAGGGTGGATTCGTAGCCACACGGTGTCCAACTCAGGGGTGAATGAGCCCCTCCCCATCAGCCCATGCTAGTTCCTTTAATGGACTTTTTTTTCAGAGCAGTTTTAGGTTCACAGCAAAATTGAGAGGAGTGGGCCACAACATCCCCCGTGCTCTACAATGAGAGCACTTCCTCAGAGCCCAAGACAGTAGGCCACTCTCTGGGGGTCCCCAGGGGCTCAGGGTGTGGCTGGCCTGTCCCCAGCTCAGGAGAGACCAGGAGTTGTCTAACAGTTCCTTCATTGGAAGTCTCTGTGGATGCCTCCCACGGACCTGAATGTTGAGGGCCCATGATTTCTACAGTACATTGAGGAGCCGGGATGCAGGGCCCCTATTTCCTCTATGTGTGCCCTGGACACCCCAGGCACAGGGGACAGGCCTGGCCCTGCAACCCCACCAGGGTCCTGACACCAGGCTTGGCCTGGCCTTGTGATGAGCAAGAGAAGAGGCAGGTCCAGAGACACCTCCTGCACGGGATCGCCTGCTTCCGACCCCCATGACAGGCAGTGGCCAGCATGGTGTGGAAGGGGCCAGGATGGCACACGGCAGGCTGCCCTGTAGCCCCAGATGGCTCCTGGCCTCAGGAAATTAATATCCACTGGAAAACTCATCACTTGGAGGCTGCCAGAGGGAAGGGTGAGTGTCACGTTCCTGCAGCCATGGCCAGCCAGCAGCATGCCCTGTGGCCTCTGGCCCAACCTGTGGGACAGGGACCCCAGACAGGGCACAAGTCCCAGTCCCAGAGGGTCCTGGCCTGATGCTAACCCAAGCCCTGTCAAGGGAAGGGCATCAGGGGCGCCATGGGCACCCAGCAGCAGCCAGGAGGATCACACAGGGGACTGAGCCTTCTGTGGCAGTGGCCGGACCCAGAACTTAGCCAAAAGCAGGGCAAGCCTCCTGGATCAGAGCGGGTGCTGCTGCCTGTGCATGCCCAGCAAGGCTGAGCCAGTGATGCTACCAGGGTCCATGAGGCAAGGGTGGGGCAGGAGCAGGCTGACCAGCCGCCAACCTCGTCCACTCCAGGAGGCAGGGATGGCCAAGCTCCCACGCCCTCGTGGCCGCCACCTGACCACCGATGGGGCAGAGGCCTGAGGCCAAGCAGTCAGTGCTGGGGCCCTGCTTCCAAGGTCTACAAACTGCTCCAGTCCGGAGGGCCAAAGATAATTGGGCACGTGAGGGCCCAGGAGGTCAGTTCCCTACGTCTGCCATCCTTGGCAGGTGCATTTCATGGTCAGAAAAAGTCAAGAAAGGTGACACCTCTCAGGTGTTATTATGAAGGACTCTCCCAAGACACATCTTTTTTTACATTTATTTTTATTGTACATATTCATGGTGGACAACATGGTGCTGTGGTAAACATGTACACTACTGAAATGATGGCTGCAATTAATATCTCCAACACCTTCCATGGTTCCTTTTTGTATGTGTGTGTATAAGTGTGTGTGCATGGGTGTGTTTGGATAAGTGTGTGTATGAGTGTGTATGCATGTGTATGAGTGTGTGTGTTTGTATGATTATGTGTGTATGAGTGTGTGTAAGGTGTGTTTTTAATTGTGTGTGAGACTGTGTGTATGTATGTATGTGTATGAGGGTGAGTGTGTGTGTGTATGTGTGTGTATGAGGGTAAGTATGTGTGTACGATGTTAGTGTGTGTGTATGTGTGTGTGGTAGGAGCACCTGGAGTCTTCTCTCAGCACACCTGCCACACACAACACCTGACTGTCACCTGTAGTCCTTGCACTGTGCACTGGACTGCTCGGCTCCCTCTCCTACACAACCGCAAGCCCTTGACCTCCTCCTCCCCCTTTCCTTCTTCCTCCAGACCCTGGTAACTACTGTTCTATTCTATGTTTCTATGTATTTGACTTTTTCAAAATGTGGAATATATGCATACATCTATACGTGTATATATGGAATATTCTTCAGCTTTCAAAAGAAGGAGATCTGGTTACTTACAACAACATGTACAAATCTGGAGGACATTACACAGGGTGAAAAGAGGCAGACACAGAAAGACAGACATCACACGCTCTCCCTCACACATGGAGTCTACAGGAGTGAAACTCACAGAAGCACAGAGTGCAAGCATGGGAACCAGAGGCAGGGAAAGGGGAAATGAGGAGGTGCTGGCCCAGGGGTCCAAAGCTTCAGTTCTTCAAGATAAATAAGGCTTGGAGACCCAATGCATAGCAAAGTGACCACAGGTAACAACACGGTGTTTATTATGTACTTAAAACGTACTGAGAGGGTAGATCCTACATGTTCTCACCACCAAGAAAAGAGAGAGAGAGAGAGAGAGCTATGTGAAGTGGCAGATGTCTTAATTATCTTGACTGTGGTGATTATTTCACAATGTAGACATATATGAGATCATCGAATTGTATGTCTTAAATATACACAATTAAAAAACAATAAAAGCCACCCCCAGTGCCAGGCCCCACAGGCACCCCCACCCAACCCTCCTACTTGCACATACAATGTATAAAAAATAGATGCGCATACACAATTGGGTATTGCTACCAATTCGGATTTTATTATCCACATTTCTTTGCAACTTAATTCTTTTCACTAGAACTTGTATCATGGTTGCCTCTCCTAGGAAGTAGATCTGGGTATAAGTCTATGTTTCTTTACGCGCATGCGTATTCATATATGTGGAGTTTTTCCACAAGTAGGATCACACATACTGGACTCACTTTTCACTGTCATTTGCTTTTTGTTGATTCCTACACACCTTCCCCACTCCACCCAGCCACTGTCCTACGTACCCCAGGCACACACTCAACATATGTGTAAAAGATATTTTTATTGCTTGCTACTAAAATAGGATCCTACAGGGCTCATTTCTCTGCATCTACATTTCACACTAGCCAGAGCCTTGAGGAAATTTCTCCAAGTCCACTGGTACAGGTGTAATCTTATTTTTTAGTGGGTATGACTTTTAGTATTAATTTTCAATTTGCTAGGATTCTTTTTCTGACACTGTAAATAATAGATCATACACATATATGTATACACGAATATGTTTACGTTTAATCTTTTTTCAGTAATTTCAAGACTAATTGTATTGATATGACCTAATTTTATTAGATATTGTTTTCAAAAAAACTGTAATAAATTGTATCCCCAGAACAATGTATGAGTACCTTTTCCCCCAATTTCACTAGCAATAGGTGTTATTATTCTTGTTAATTTTGGTCAGTCTAGTAGATATAAAATGTTGCAGGTAGCCACTAACTGAGTCCACTAGCGTGGGCAGAAAAGGAATTTACCAAGACAGTTGTAGGTAAGGAAAGGCAGATTTATTAGAGAATGTAGGAAAATACGTTGCAAGAATGGAAAGGGCAGGTCAGCAAGGGAGGAGCTGGCTGCCAGGAGACAAAGGCTTGCTGGGGATTTTATAGGATGGTGCTTGTGCCGGAGAGGGTTACATGCAGTGCTGATAATGCCAAGGTTTCAGTGAGCTAATTTGCATTTTTCTATCAACTGAGGTCATAAGTTGAGTGCAGGAAGATTGTGAGTTATGTGAGTTATTTGCATAGGAGGGCTAAGTCCTGCACCAGGAAGAAAGGCAGACTTGTAGTTCATCTGCCTTCTCTTTTTGCTTTCCCTTGGTCCAACCAACCTGGCTCCTTTTCCATCATTAGGACTCCACAGAAAAGATCCCGTGTATCTGACTACCAGTGAGTCTGATTTACTTTTTATATTTTTAATTGCACACTTCCATTTGTTTATCAGAGAATCATCTTTTTAAAAACTTGGTTGTTTGTATTCTACTTGTCAATTTGTAAGAGCTACTAATGTTTTATAGATTTTTTTTTTGAGACAGGGTCTCGCTCGGTTGTTGGAGTGCAGTGGCACAATGTCAGCTTACTACAACCTCTGCCTCCTTGGTTCAAGCAATTCTTCCACCTCAGCCTCCCAAGTAGCTGTGATTACAGGCATGCACCACCGTGCCCAGCTAGTTTTTATATTTTTAGTAGAGATGAGGTTTCACCATGTTGGCCTGGCTGGTCTTGAACTCTTGGCCTCATGTGATCCACCTGCCTTGGGCTCCCAAATTGCTGGGATTATAGGCATGAGCCATCGTGCTCGGCCAGTGTTTTATAGATTATAGAACTAATAAATGAATCCAGCAAGTTTTCAGAATACAGGACCAATATATAAAAATCAATTGTATTTCTACTCACTTGCAACTCTGAAAGTGACAAAACACTGTTGAAAGAAACTAAAGAAGATCTAAAACATCCCAGATTTGTTGTGGACTGAATATTCATGTTCTTTCAAATTCATATGTTGAATCCATCACTCCCATTGTGGTTGTATATGGAGACGAGTTCTCCAAGGAAGAAATTAAGGTTACGTAAGGTCATAAGGGCTTCCACAGGATTTGCATCTTCATAAGAAGAGACACCAGGGAGCATTTGCCTCTGTCTCGCTCTCTCTTTCTCTCTCTCTCTCTCTCTCTCTCTTCCTCCCTCCAACTCTTTCTCTCTCCACACACAAAGGAAAGGCCATGTGAGCAAAGAGTGGGAAAGCGGCCATCTGCAACCAAAGGAGAGAGCCCTCACCAGAAACAAAAGTTGCTTGCACCCGATCTTGGACTTCTGAATTGTGAGAAAATAAATGCCTGTTGTTGGGCCACCAAATCCGTGGTATTTTGTTATGGCAGCCCAAAAGCAGACTGATGTTCATGTATCAGGAGACTTAACATTTTTCAGATGGCAATACCCCCAAAATTGATCTACAGAGTCTATGCAATCTCTATCAGGAAAGCAGCTGGCTTCTTTGTAGAAATTCACAGGCTGATTTTAAAGTTCATGTGGAATCTCAAGGGACCCGGAATAGCTAAAACAAGGTTAAAAAGAAGAACAATGTTGGAGGGCTCACACTTGCCAATTTGAAAACTTACTACAAAGCTGCAGTCATCAGGGCAGTTTAGCACTGTTGTTAGAATAAATGTATAAACCAGTGGAATAGAATTGAGAGCCAGAAATAAACCCTCATGTAGATGACCAACTGATTTTTGACAGGGTGCCAGATCATTCAATGGAGGAAGAGCAGTACTTCAACAAATGATGCTGGGAAACTAGACATCCACATGCACAGGAATGAGCTGGACCCCTACTTCACACCACATACACTAATTAATTTAAAATGGGTCAAAAGGCCTACATTTAAGAGTCAAATCTATAAAACTATTAAAAGAAAACATGACCTTGGATTCGGTGTGGATTCATAGATAGGACACCAAAAGCACCAGCAACAAAAGAGAAATACAAATACATTGGATGCCATCAAAAGTTAAATATTTTTGCACCAAAGGACGCTATCAACAAAGTGAAAGAACAGTCTACATAATAAAGGAAGAAAAGATTTACAAATCAGATATCTGATAAGCATCTAGTATCTAGAGTATATAAAGAACTTTTTCTTCAACTTTTATTTTAGAATCAGGCAGTACATGTGCAGGTTTTTCACATGGGTATATTGTGTGATGCTGAGGTTTGGAGTATGAATGAATCCATCACCAAAATAGTGACTGTGGTACCCAGTAGTTTTTCAGTCCTTGCCCCCTTGCTCTCTCCTCTTGTTCCCCAGTATTCAGCCTTTGCCCCCTCCCTCCCTTCCTCCCTCCTCTTGTTCCCCAGTGTCTATGGTTTTCATCTTTATGTCCATGTGGACTCAAAGTTTAGCTCTCACTTATAAGTGAGAATATGTGGTATTTGGTTTTCTGCTTCTGCATTAGTTCCCTTAGGATAACGGCCTCCAGCTTCATCCATACTGCTGCAAAAGATATGACTTCGTTCTTTTTTGCAGCTGTGTAGTATTCCATGGTGTATATGTACCACATTTTCTTTATCCAATCCACCATTGATGGGCACCTGGGTTGATTCCACATCTTTGCTTTTGTGAATAGCACTGCAATTAACATATGGATGCATGTGTCTTTTTGGTAGATTGATTTATTTTCCTTTGGGTATATACCCAATCATGAGATTGCTGGGTCAAATAGTAGTTCAATTCTTAGCTCTTTGAGAAATCTCCAAACTGCTCTCCGTGGTGGCTGAATTCATTTACATTCCCACCGACAGTGTACAAGTGTTCCCTTCTCTCTCAAGCTTTGCCAGCATCTGATTTTAGGTTTTTTTGTTTTGTTTTGTTTTTTACTTTTTATCAAAAGCCATTCTGACTGATATGAGATGGTATCTCGTGGTGGTTTCGATTTACATTCCCCGAATAGTTAGTGATGTGGAGCATTTTTTCATATAGTTGTTGGCCAGTGTTGAAGGAGGGGCCTGCAGGGAGGTGTCTGGGTCATGGGGGTGGATCCCTCATGAGTGACTTAGTGCCACCCCCTTGGCGATGAGTGTGTTCACTCAGATCTGGTTGTTCACAAGTGTGTGGCTCCTCCTCACCCCTTGCTCCCACTCTCACCATGTGGTGTGCCTGTTCCTGCTTCGCCTTCCACCGTGAGGAAAACTCCCTGAGGGCCTCCCCAGAAGCTGAGCAGAGGTGGGTGCCATGCTTGTGCAGCCTGCAGAACCATGAGCCATTCTAACCTCTTTCCTTTATAAATTACCCAGCCTCAAGTATTTCTTTAGAGCAATGCAAAGAATGGTCTAACACACCCGGAAAGCTGAGACTGGCATGAGTATAAAGATCGTGGATAATTTTGAAATCTAAAAATGTAAAATTAATATTATTGAGGGAGTCAACACAGGAAAGATGAGAGCACGTGGGCAGAGGCTGTTGCCCATTGGTCACATGTGGTCAGCAGAGAGCAGGTGACCAGCACCCTGGAGCTTTGCAGGAAGAACCAGACAGCCTGGAGCTGAGGTTTTAATTGTAGGGGCCAAAACAAATGGGGAAAAAGACAAATTTAGAAAACAAAGAAAGTAGATGCTCAACTGAGCCAGAAGGAAGTCACTAGCAAAGAGGAAAAAAATAGAGCTCTGGAAAAATAGTGTAAACAGTCACAAGAAAGGGACCCTGTGTCATGCCTGACATCTGGACAGGTATATAAAGAGCCCAGGCTCAGGGAGCTCCACACCTGCACCTCCCTCTCACCTGCTCCTCTACCTGCTCCACCCTCAATCCACCAGAACCATGGGCTGCTGTGGCTGCTCCAGAGGCTGTGGCTCCGGCTGTGGGGGCTGTGGCTCCAGCTGTGGGGGTTGTGGCTCTGGCTGTGGGGGCTGTGGCTCCGGCCGTGGGGGCTGTGGCTCTGGCTGTGGGGGCTGCAGCTCCAGCTGTGGGGGATGTGGCTCCAGATGTTATGTGCCTGTCTGCTGCTGCAAGCCCGTGTGCTCCTGGGTGCCAGCCTGTTCCTGCACCAGCTGTGGCTCCTGTGGGGGCTCCAAGGGGGGCTGTGGCTCCTGTGGGGGCTCCAAGGGGGGCTGTGGCTCCTGTGGGGGTTCCAAGGGGGGCTGTGGTTCTTGTGGCTGCTCCCAGTCCAGCTGTTGTAAGCCCTGTTGCTGCTCCTCAGGCTGTGGATCATCCTGCTGCCAGTCCAGCTGCTGCAAGCCCTGCTGCTGCCAGTCCAGCTGCTGTGTCCCCGTGTGCTGCCAGTCCAGCTGCTGCAAGCCCTGTTGCTGCCAGTCCAACTGTTGTGTCCCTGTGTGCTGCCAGTGTAAGATCTGAGGCTCTGGACCCAGACCTTCAGGTTTCTCCTGTTTGGTGAAAGCATTTCTTATGGTTCCCTGAGTCAGTTCGTCCCACACATCCTCCCTGAGGCACCTGCACCTGCTCTAGCTCACCATCCATGCACACACCTCCTTCCATGGCTCAGCTCTCCTCTGGGCCCTGCCTTCAGCCTCCTCACTCCAGAAACGTGTGTTTCCCTGATGCGGGAGGTGTCCTCGCCTGGACGCAGGCACCCAGCCGACTGCCACGATGTTCCCTGCACTTGGGTGTGGACCATCTTCTTCTTCTCCCTGGGCTGACTGAGATGCAAGGTCTGACCCCACAAGGCCAGGCCGACGTTTCTGAGTGATCACTAAGAACCAGCTTCTCAACCACCATCAGGACCCTGGATCCTCCTGGGCCGCTGCCTGTTCTCCTGTGGCCCAAGTGTGACCAGGAAGGTCTCTTTCCTTCCTGTTGTCTCCATCTGTTTAAAAAAAAATAACAAAATAATGAATGAATTTCCTTGCAATAAAGCCTCTCATGTCTGTAAATCAACTGTATACTTGGTGCAATTCTGTCCAACCCCTTTCCTGTGCGGTGACCGATTCTGTGTTCTGATCTGTCAGCTAAGCTGGGAAACGCCTGCCAGCAGGCCTGGTACATTCACAAAAAAGCCTGCCATTCCCTTCTGTCCTCCTCTCGGCCTCAAATATCTTCACAGTCTCTGCTTGCAGGAGAAGAGGGCTCAGCCCGGGGAGGATTCGGCATTCAATGCCCGCCCTAGAGGCGCAGAGGGGCAGGCGGGCCCTGAGTCCTGACGACCAGCCAAGCAGGGCCTTGCACAAGACCCATGGCTTCCAGCTTCCCGCTCTCCTCTGGGGCCTCGGAAGGACCCCAGGCAGGGCAAGGTCGGAGGAGGGAGGAGTGAAGCACCGCTGAGCTCCAGCGCGGTCTGATTCAAACACTCAATTAGCCTTTTACAATCATGAGGTCAACGGCTTTCCATAACTAAAGGTAACCAGGAAGTTACAGAATGGCCCAAGGTGTCCTCGGAGCTCAGTCTCCCGGCAGGAAAGGGGAGTTCCTGGGAAATGACACATTTGGGGACCCTGAGCCAAGTCCATCTGTTTCATGGTGACGTGCCACCACGCTGAGCCTGTTCTCTGACCAGTGTCACAGGCAAGGCTTTAGAAATCACGCACTGGGGAGGAGGGGACGAGAGTGATCTGAGGATGATCTCCAGACAAGCGAACCTGGAGGGAAAAGGTGGAGGGAAGAGAGCACACAGGGAGCGCTGGTGAGAAATGAGCTCCCACAGAACACCCACAGATCTAAGCGACTGCTGATAATGCCAGGGAAGAGCAGAGTGGGAATTTCCAGGACAAATTTCTGAGAGAAAAGAGATGCAATGTAAGGAAAAATGAAATAATCTAGAAATAAAGGCTTAGATTAATTCAGCCACTTTTAGGAGAGGGAATAAAAGTGTGTCAAAGGTGCATCTTGCTAGGGGACATGGCTATCGTTAGTTTCACGACGTTAAAAGGAAATGCTGCTTAAGACAGTTTACTCAAAAATCCAAACTGGGAAACTCCAGAAGGTGGCAGCAGACATGAACGCAGAGTTCATTACATTTGGGCCCTGTACATTCCCACAGCCCACAGGACACCGAGCAACTCGGTAACAAAACCAAAAATGCATGCTGGAGACTTATAACAAAACCAGGTAAGCCAGGCATGGTAGCGCAAACCTGCAGCCCCAGCTACTTGGGAGACTGAGGCAGGAGGATGGCTTGAGCCTAGGAGTCTGAGGCTGCAGTGAGCTGTGATCGCACCACTGAACTCCAGCCTGGGCAATATAAAGTGAGATGGTGTCTTAAGAAAAAGCAGGTGAACCTAAAAGTACAAGAAGGTGGGGATAAATTTCCAAGAGCCACAGTCCCCCAGGGTTTCAGTGTCTGTGCAGGAGAAAGCGAAGAAACATCTAACAGAGACGAAAACAGGGGAACCTCAAAAGAGCCAACAGGTGTGTGCTGGAAAAGCGCAGCATGAATTTTGGATTTGGCTCCTGAAATGGGGAAGGTTTTCCTCCCTCTAGTGGTGAGTGGGTGCAAGGGCCCTCGGTAAGTCCCTAGAGGCAATGGAAGAAAGCTAGGAAGCCTGCCGTGAAACAGATCACAGTGGTAGCCTACTGTTTCCAAAGGAGCTAATGAACAATGAAAGGAAATGATACCAGACATAAATAAGGCCGGGCGCGGTGGCTCACACCTGTAATCCCAGCACTTTGGGAGGTGAGGCAGGAGGATCACTTGAGGCCAGGAGTTCAAAACCAGCCTGGGCAACATAGTGAGACCCCCACCTCTACAAAACATTTTAAAAACTAAGTGGGTATGGTGGTGTGTGTCTTTAATCCCAGCTGCTAGGGAAGTTGAGGCGGGAGGATTGCTTGAGCCTAGGAGGTTGAGGCTGCAGTGAGCTATGATCCTGCCACTGCACTCCAGCCTGGGCAACAGAGTGAAACCCCATCTCAAAAAAAGAGACATAAATGAACAACAAAAGTCATAAATAGAAGAATTGCTAAATGAGGGGACATCACTTAAGAGAAAATTAGAGTTAAAAGAAATCACTCTAGAAATAAAGTCTAAAGTGGGACAAACGTATGAGTAAAAAAGTACAATAAATTTTAAAAACCAAAAAGAAATGAAGAACTAAAAAGGATTCAAGAGACAATGACAAAAATTGAAAAGAAGCAAAGAAGATCCAAGACTCCTAACCAAAGTCATGTATGACAGTCAAACAATTACATAAAAAACTAGAATAAAAAAGCACTAATCAAAAAGAACAGAAGAGAAAAAGAAATATAGATCAGGTGATGCAATAGAAAATTCAGACTAAGAACATAGGTTTTAAACCCAAATATTTCAGTAATTATTTCACAAGTAAATGGACAAAATGCTCTAGTTTACATATAAAGATTGCTAGACAAGTTTTCTTAAAAAATGTATAACTAGATGTAAAGTCAAAAGTTGCATCTAAAACATAAGGATTCAAAAATGTAAAAAAAAAAAAAGAAGGGGGGGTAGAAAAAGACATAACATGCAAAGCAAGCTATACTAATAGTAGGCAAAATAAAAACAAAGGCCTGGCTGGGTGCAGTGGCTCACACCTGTAATCCCAGCACTTTGGGAGTCTGAGGCGCACAGATCACCTGAGGTCGGAAGTTTGAGACCAGCCTGACCAACGTGGTGAAACCCAATCTCTACTAAAACTAACAAAAAAAATAGCTGGGCATGGTGGGGCACGCCTGTAATCCCAGCTACTCAGGAGGCTGAGGGAGAAGAATCGCTTGAACCCAGGAGGCAGAGGTTGCAGTGAGCCAAGATCACGCCACTGCACTCCAGCCTGGGCAACCAGAGTGAGACTCCATCTCAAAAAATATATATATACATATATATATATATGCATGCATCATATATGTGCTGAGAATTTTATAGATCACAATCCTCAGCTAATGAATCCTATATAGACATTGTTTTTATTTAACTTTTTTCTCCTTCATTATCCCAAGTCCCATCATCCTCTCCACCCATAGGCATCCATCCTTGCAGGTATCTTTCCAATTCATCTTCCATAAGTTATTTACAAACATTTGCATATAATCATGACAAATATGTAGCATTTTTCAATGTGTATGTATTTGGTTTTGGTTTTGTTTTTGAGACAGGTCTTGCTCTGTCACCCAAGCTGGAGATAGAGTGCAACGGTGCAATCTCAGCTCACTGCAACCTCCACATCCCGGGCTCAAACGATCCTCCTGCCTCAGCCTCCCAAGTAGCTGGGACTACAGTCGCACCTCCACACCTGGCTAATTTTTGTATTTTTTGTAGAGATAGGGTTTCACCACGTTGCCCAGGCTGGTCTCGAACTCCTGGACTCAAGTAATCCACCTGCCTGGCCCTCCCAAAGTGCTGGGATTACAGACGTGAGCCACTGTGTCCAGCCTTGTGTATGTTATTTAAATTCATGATGGTTATAAATTCTGTTCTGTTTCTTGCGTTTTAAGCAAATCTGGTGCTTTTGGCATGTATTGCTACATGAAAATACAATGCATTATTTCTGGCCACTGAAGTGTGTTCCACTAGATTCCTGCCCCCCATTTCCCACATCCATCACCCTTTTTTGAGCTCTTTGCTGCCATATAATCCACCATGATGAATATCCTCATTGCTCAGCATAACACCCAGGAGTGGTGAACCTAGTGAATGAGTTTTCAATGATCAATGAGTGGGATGCTGAAATGGGGAGCCTGGGAGAACAGATTTCTTTTCCTTTTTTTTTTGAGATACAGTCTCATTCTGTCGCCCAGGTTGGAGTGCAGTGGCACGATCTCAGCTCACTGCAAGCTCTGCCTCCTGAGTTCACGCCATTCTCCTGCCTCAGCCTCCTGAGTAGCTGGGACTACAGGCACCCGCCACCACGCCCGGATAATTTTTTGTATTTTTAGTAGAGATGGGTTTTCACTGTGTTAACCAGGATGGTCTCCATCTCCTGACCTTGTGATCTGCCCACCTTGGCCTCCCAAAGTGCTGGAATTACAGGCGTGAGCCACTACACCCGGCCCCAGATTTCTTGAGAAGTATCTGTTTTGGAAGGAAGGCGACTGAGGTGTTGATCAGTGCCATATCTACATCTTCTTCATCAATATGGAATGATGCTTTCATGATCTAAAAAGGCAATAGCCATAGAATGAATGTGCTTCCCAGAATCAAAAGGCCATACCAAAAAAAAAAAATGCAGTTTATAACAACCAAAAATATTGCTCCTCCTCAAGGCTGTGTACAGAGCTAGTATATTTGTGTGATGGATGGATCCCATTACACTGTATGTGCTTGAAAGGCAGAAGTCACGTAACGACTCCCGCTGTATGCTGCAGGTAAGCACATAGCTGCTCACGCCTCTCACTAAATACCACGCGCTAAATGTAACATATCAGTAAGACTGCAGGTGTTTCCATTCTCTTCAAAAACCAGGGGCGTTTTGTTTTCATTGCTTAACTCTGATTAAAAATAAGGTTGAAGGTCTTTTCGCGTCCTCACTAGCCATCTGTGGGTGGTCTATTCCTATGCTTTGCCCACTTCTCCACTAGGTCTCCTGCCCTCTTCTGTTGATTTTCAGGGTTCCTGTCTAGACATTAGCTTCTAGGGGTTATAAATATGGCAAATGGCAAATATCTTCTCCCAGTTGATCAATCTTCTTTTTTTTTGAGACGGAGTTTCACCTTGCTGCCCAGGCGGGAGTGCAATGGTGCAATCTCGGCTCACTGCAACCTCCACCTCCCAGGTTTAAGCAATTCTCCTGCCTCAGCATCCCGAGTAGCTGGGATTACAGGCATGCACTACCACACCTGGCTAATTTTGTATTTTTAGTATAGATGGGGTTTTACCACGTTGGTCAGGCTGGTCTCGAACGCCTGACATCAGGTGATCTGCCCACCTCGGCCTCCCAAAGTGCTGGGATTACAGGGGTGACCCACCACACTTGGCCCCAATCATCTTTTAATGGTTTTTTTGTGGGGTGATATCCAGACATATATCAGTAATTTTGATGTGGTTAAATACAGCATTTTCCTAATTACTGTTTATGTTCTGGGGATCATATTTAAGAATTCATTTCCTGACCCCAAGATAATAAACACAATCTCCTATATTATCTTCCACTCTTTTTATATTTTCCTTTCACTTTTACATATCCTTTTAGGTCTTCAATCCATGTGGATTATAGAGGGTGTGAGGTAGGCATCTAATTTTAATTCTCTGCATAGAGTGAGCCATCTTCCCCATTCAATTTGTTAAAGATTAAAGCTCCTCTGGCTGGGCACGGTGGCTCACGCCTGTAATCCCAGCACTTTGGGAGGCTGAGGCAGGTGGACCACCTGAGGTCAGGAGTTCGAGACCAGCTTGACCAACACGGAGACACCCCGTCTCTACTAAAATACAAAATTAGCCAGTGTGGTGGTGCATGCCTGTAATCCCAGCTACTCGGGAGGCTAAAGCAGGAGAATTGCTTGTACCCGGGAGGTGGAGGTTGTGGTGAGCCAAGATCGTGCCATTGCACTCCAGCCTGGGCAATAAGAGTGAAACTCTATCTCAAAAAAAAAAAAAAAAAAAATTAAAGCTCTGCAATAGATGGGTCTTTTCTGGGTTCCTGTTCTGTACTTCTAACTATTTATCCATTCATGTGCTAGTAGCAAACTGTTTTAACAACGAAGACTTTATTATGCCTTAATATCAGGCAGAGACTACCCCTTCTGAATATTATTCAGGAGTGTCTCAGTTATTCACAAGTTTGCACATAAATTTTAGATCTATGGAATAATTTTCAGAATTAAATCCTTCTGGAATTTTAATTGAATAAAATCCATTGAATGTATGAATATAAGAAACTGAACTTTTTATAATGTTAAGACTTTCCACCCATGAACATGATATATTTCTCCACTTATGACGGTCTTCTTTTATTTATTTATTTTTTTGAGATGGAGTCTCACTCTGTTGCCCAAGTTGGAGTGTAGTGGCAAGATCTCAGCTCACTGCAACCTCCGCTCCTGGGTTCAAGCCATTCTCCTGCCTCAGCCTCCCAAGTAGCTGGGATTACAGGCATGCACCACCACACCCAGCTAATTTTTGTATTTTTAGTAGAGACAGAGTTTCATCATGTTGGCCAGGCTGGTCTTGAACTCCTGGCCTCAGGTGATCCACCCACCTTAGCCACCCAAAGTGCAGGGATTACAGGTGTGAGCCACCACGCCTGGCCAGATTGTGGACTTTTAAATAGACAAACTGTATATGCACATTTATCTCAATAAAACGGTTTTCTTTTTTTAAAAAAGACACATGGGGGCCAGGCGCAGTGGTTCACGCCTGTAATCCCAGCACTTTGGGCAGCCAAGGCAGGCGGATCATGAGGTCAGGAGTTTGAGACCAGCCTGGCCAGCATGGTGAAACCCCTTCTCTACTAAAAATACAAAAAATAAAATAAAATAAAATAGCTGGGCATGGTGACAGGCGCCTGTAATCCCAGCTACTTGGGAGGTTGAGGTAGAAGAATCACTTGACTCCGGGAGTTGGAGGTTGCAGTGAACCAAGATCTTGCCACTGCACTCCAGCCTAGGCAACAGAACAGGGCTCTGTCTTAAAAAAAAAAAAAAAAAAAAAGACATATGGGGACATGTAGTAGATTTGACATTTGTCCAACTAGAGATGAGAGAGACTCGGGAGAGGTGAGACAGGGAGAGTCTCCCAAGGTTGAAACTGGAACCCTCGGTCCAGGAAGGACATGGCATGAAGCAGGTGGGAGAACCAAATGTGCAAGCCAGCTTCCACAGCAGACATGGAAGGCCAGGGACTCCAGCCTGCACAGCAGACACAGAAGGCCAGGCAGCTCCAGCTTCCACAGTAGACACGGAAGACCAGGACTCCAGCTTTCACAGCGGACACAGAAGGCCAGAGACTCCAGCTTCCACAGCAGACTCAGAAGGCTGGGGACTCCAGCGGAGGGGCAGAGAAAGTGACAGCAGCAACAGACGAAACAGCCGCCAGTGACACCTTTCAAGCACTGAGGAATTTTGTGCCAACCAAAGCATTATTCAAAAGTGAGGGCAGGCCAGGCATAGTGGCTCACGTCTGTAATCCCAGCACTTTGGGAGGCCAAGGTGGGAGGGTTGCTTGAGCCAAGGAACTCTAGACCAGCTTGGGCAACTTAGAGAGACCCCATCTCTACACAGAAATTAAAATTAGCTGAGTGTGATGGTGTGCCTTTGTCATCCCAGCTGCTGGGGAGGCTGAGGAGAAAGGATGGCTTGAGCCCAGGAGCAGGAAACAAGCCACCTCCATGTGAAAATGCAGGCTGTCTACTGATGAATGCTCGGGAGGAGCAGGAAACAAGCCACCTCCATGTGAAAATGCAGGCTGTCTACTGATGAATGCTCGGGAGGAGCAGGAAACAAGCCACCTCCATGTGAAAATGCAGGCTGTCTACTGATGAATGCTCGGGAGGAGCAGGAAACAAGCCACCTCCATGTGAAAATGCAGGCTGTCTACTGATGAATGCTCGGGAGGAGCAGGAAACAAGCCACCTCCATGTGAAAATGCAGGCTGTCTACTGATGAATGCTCAGGAGGAGCAGGAAACAAGCCACCTCCATGTAAAAATGCAGACTGTCTACTGATGAATGCTTGTGAGGGAACTTCCGGAGGATGTTTTCAGGAAGAAGGAAGCTGAGCCCGGAAGGAAGAAGTATGGTGTAAGCAAGAACCACGCCTAGAGTTGTTGGTGGATGTGTGGCAAGTTTAAGCAAATACTGACTATAAATAAACAATGATGAGCAATGTGAGAGGAGCTAAGACGCTGGAGAAACTCCCACAGCTGACACCGGAGGGGCTGGGCAGGGGAAGAAGCTGTCCCCAGCTCCCTGCACAACTCTCAGCAGGGGAGGAATAGAGGGCCATCACGTGTAGACAACATTTGTTTAAAAATACACATGAAATGCATAAGGTTGCTGCTAAAAACAGGAATAGTGTATATAACTTCTAAGTCAGTCAAAGCAAAACAAAATAAAAACAAAAACAGAACCTTAAAAACTCCATCTAAAAGAAGAGGGGAAGGAAGCACTACCACAGGATGGTGAAATGCAAAGGGTGGTGGGAAGCAGCCCACGTATGTCAGAAATCACAGCAAACCCCACAGGCTTAGCTCATCGGGTAAAGAACAGAGACCCCAAAATATGGGAGCTTTTAAAGCAGCCCCACAGTAGTTACCTCACCCAGAAGCTTGCAGAAAGGCTGAAAGAAGCTGAATGAAAATGACTGCAGAAAAGGGAGGGAGGGAGGGAGGGAAGGAAGGAGGGACAGATAGAAAGCCCAGATGGCAGTGACTCTCTATCGCACGCCTCCTGGCCTGACAGTCCACGTCCAGCAGACAGTCACGCACCCCAGCACCCGCATGTTTAGAAAGTGCAAAAAGAACAATGGAGAAAATAAAGATATGAGCAGAACTAAATAAAAATGTTTAACACATACAACAAACAGAATCAACAAAATCAAAAGCTGGTCTTTCAAAAGACAAAGAAAATCAACAATATTTAGCAAAACCAATGAGGAAAAAAAGGGTCGGGCAGGAGAAAGAGCATGTATAACCTGAAGCAGGGATGAAAAACGGCAAATAGGCTGGGCACGGTGGCTCACGCCTGTAATCCCAGCACCGTGGGAGGCCAAGGCAGGTGGATCACCTGAAGCCAGGAGTTCGAGACCAGGCTGGCCAACATGGCAAAACCCTATCTCTACTAAAAATACAAAAATTAGCCAGGCATGATAGCAGGTGCCTATAATCCCAGCTACTCGGGAGGCTAAGGCAGGAGAATTACTTGAACCCGGGAGGCAGAGGTTGTGGTGAGCCGAGATCACACCACTGTACTCCAGCCTGGGTGACAGAGTGAGACCCTGCCATAAAAAAAAAAGAAAGAAAAGAAAGCAAATAATGACAAATTTAGCAGCTATTAAAAATAACAGGCTACTAAGCCAGGCGTGGTGGCACACGGTAGGGATTTGTAGTAGTCAAATGTGGTAGTCTGTAGTAGTCCCAGCTACTTCAGAGGCTGAGGACCACTTGAGGCCAGGCGTGAGTTCGAGACTGCAGTGAGCTATGATGGTGCCTGTGAACGGCCACTGCACCCCAGCCTGGACAACATAGCAAGATCCCATCTTCAAAAACAGAGGCAACTATGAAAAGTACATCCCAATAAATTTGAAAAACTTAGAATAAATGACATCTATGTTAAGAAGAAACACAGGAGGATGAGGCAGGAGAATTGCTTGAACTCGGAGGCAGAGGTTGCAGTGAGCCGAGATCACACCACTGCACTCCAGCCTGCGCAACAGAGCGAGACTCTGTCTCAAAAAAAAAAAAAAAAAAAAGAAGAAGAAGAAGAAGAAGAAACAAAAGGCTGGGCGCTGTGGCTCTCGCCTGTAATCCCAGCACTTTGGGAGGCTGAGGCAGGTGGATCATGAGGTCAGGAGACCAGCCTGGCCAACACGGTGAAACCCTGTCTCTACTAAAAATACAAAAATTAGCTGGGTGTGGTGGCACGTGCCTGTAATCCCAGGGGAGACTGAAGCAGGAGAATTGCTCAAACCAGGGAGTCAGAGGCTGCAGTGAGCCGAGACCATGCCACTGCACTCCAGCCTGGCAACAGAGCAAGACTCCATCTCAAAATAAAAGAATCCAGAAAATTCAAAGAACTTCAGACACCAATAAAAATAATAATGATCTTGGCCAGGTGTGGTGGCTCACACCTGTAATCCCAGCACTCTGGGAGGCCGAGGTGGGTGGATCACTTGAGGTCAGGAGTTCAAGACCAGCCTGACCAACATGGTGAAACCTTGACTCTACTAAAAATACAAAAATTAGCCAGGTGTGGTAGCACATGCCCGTAATCCCAGATACTCGGGAGGCTGAGGCAGGAGAATTGCTCGAGCATGGAAAGCGGAGGTTGCAGTGAGCCGAAATCGCACCATTGCGCTACAGCCTGGGAGACAGAGCAAGACTCTCCATCTCAAAAATTAATAATAATAACTATCTCAATTTTGTAAAGTGGGCCAAGGACGTGAAATTAACGAGACTCTAATGACAGGTGACCATATGGAAAGAGGCACAGCATGGCTAGTAACCAGGAAGAGGGAATATTAAACCACAGTGTGTAACACTGTGTTACACACCCACATGAAGGGTGTAAGTTGACAGTTGCAAGTTTTGGTGGGGGTGCCAGGAAACAGGAGCTCTCTGGCAATGCTGGTTGGACAGCAGCTGGCTGGGGGGATCCCTTGGGAAGACAGCTTGGTAACAAGAACCTCCTGACTTTCAGGCACCCACACCTGCAGGAGGGGTTTTGGGCAAGAAAGTTGCAGCTTGCTTGAAATAGCAACAAAAAGGAAACAAAAGGTCCATCAACAAGTAAATGGATAAGTCAATGTATATTTAGAAATCAGAGAAAACAAATAAATTAAAACCATATGTATCCCTAGAGAAAATCTCTTTAGCCTAACACCTATTTTTTTCAAAAGCAATTTACAGAAAGAGAAATACAGTGTAATACCCATTACATAAAGTTTTCAGCATGTAAAATTTTTTTTTCTTTTTTCTTTTCTTTTTTTTTTTTTTTTTTTGAGATAGAGTCTCACTCTGTTGCCCAGGCTGGAGTGCAATGGCGTGATTTCAGCTCACTGCAACCACTGCCTCCCAGGTTCAAGCGATTCTCCTGCCTCAGCCTCCCGAATAGCTGGGATTACAGGCACATGCCACCATACCTGGTTAATTTTTGTATTTTTAGTAAAGACGAGGTTTCACCATGTTAGTGAGGCTGGTCTCAAACTCCTGGACTCAAATGATCCGCCCACCTCAGCCTCCCAAAGTGCTGAAATTACAGGTGTGAGCCACCGCGCCTGGCCACAAAACATTTTTAAAGGAACATACATATTAAGTAGGAGTGTGAGGACCTTCATGAGAGTGGTGAATTCCAAATTCAAGAAATTATTAGGGTGGGACAGAAACAATATGGAGAGATGGAGGAACAGAGACTTCATTTATTTATGCCATTTTTTCCCAAGTTGAGTAGGGTTTTTTTTTACATTTTTTAAATATATTACTCTTTATACCATCGTTCAACTAAAATAGATCACTTTTTTTTTTTTTTTGAGACAGAGTCCCGCTCTGTTGCCCACACTAGAGTGCAGTGGTGTGATCTCTGCTCACTGCAACCTTCACCTCTGGGTTCAAGCCATTCTCCTGCCTCAGCCTCCCAAGTAGCTGGAGTTACAAGCATGCACCACCATGCCTGGCTAATTTTTGTATTTTTAGTAGAGATGGGGTTTTGCCATGTTGGGCAGGCTGGTCTCCAACTCCTGACCTCAAATGATCCACCTGCCTCGGCCTCCCAAAGTGCTGGGATTACAGATGTGAGCCACCACACCCAGTTAATTTTTGTGTTTTTAGTAGACACGAGATTTCACCATTTTGGCCAGGCTGGTCTCCAACCCCTCACCTCAAGTGATCCACCTGCCTAGGCCTCCCAAAGTGCTGAGATTACAGGTGTGAGCCACCATGCCCAGCCTAAAATAGATGCTTTTGTAAATCCAGTGTGACTCTGGAGTCAACAGGGAGAGGCTAGACCCTTGGGGGCCTCCATTAAGTCTGGACACAGATTCAGCAAGAGAGCAGCAGCCCACTGAGCAGCCCATACACCAAGGGGCGGATTTCTAGAGGAAACAAGAAAAAGGGGCCCTAAAAATGGCACAAACAGGAACCAGGAAATGTGTGCCCAGCCTCACACATGACCCTGGGCAGGGATATAAAGGGTCCAGGCTCAGGGAGCTCCACACCTGCACCTCCCTCTCACCTGCTCCTCTACCTGCTCCACCCTCAATCCACCAGAACCATGGGCTGTTGCGGCTGCTCCGGAGGCTGTGGCTCCAGCTGTGGGGGCTGTGGCTCCGGCTGTGGGGGCTGTGGCTCCGGCTGTGGGGGCTGTGGCTCTGGCTGTGGAGGTTCTGGCTCCAGCTGCTGTGTGCCCGTCTGCTGCTGCAAGCCCGTGTGCTGCCGTGTGCCAACCTGTTCCTGCTCCAGCTGTGGCAAAGGGGGCTGTGGCTCTTCTGGGGGCTCCAAGGGGGGCTGTGGCTCCTGTGGAGGCTGCAAGGGGGGCTGTGGCTCTTGTGGGGGATCCAAGGGGGGTTGTGGCTCCTGTGGGGGCTCCAAGGGGGGCTGTGGCTCTTGTGGGGGATCCAAGGGTGGCTGTGGTTCCGGCTGTGGGGGATGTGGCTCCAGCTGCTGTGTGCCTGTCTGCTGCTGCAAGCCCATGTGCTGCTGTGTGCCAGCTTGTTCCTGCTCCAGCTGTGGCAAAGGGGGCTGTGGCTCCTGTGGGTGCTCCAAGGGGGCCTGTGGTTCTTGTGGGGGCTCCAAGGGGGGCTGTGGCTCCTGTGGAGGCTGCAAGGGGGGCTGCGGTTCTTGTGGGGGATCCAAGGGGGGTTGTGGCTCCGGCTGTGGGGGCTGTGGCTCCGGCTGCGGTGTGCCCGTGTGTTGCTGTTCCTGTTCCAGTTGTGGCTCTTGCGCGGGGTCTAAGGGAGGCTGCGGGTCATCCTGCTCCCAGTGCAGTTGCTGTAAGCCCTGCTGCTGTTCCTCAGGCTGTGGGTCATCCTGTTGCCAATCCAGCTGCTGCAAGCCCTGCTGCTCCCAGTCCAGTTGCTGTGTCCCCGTGTGCTGCCAGTGCAAGATCTGATTTCTGGCTTTGCAGGACTCTTACCATGGCCAGGCATTCCTGCCCAGCCTTTACCTCCTTTTCCTGGCACCCAGTGAGCCAGACTCTCCTTCCCCACCCACTACCCTATCTCCCACCCTCCTGCCTTGCCAAGCATGAACACTTCTCTTTGACCTTCTACCAAGAAATGCCATGGGCCCATGCATCCAAGAAGAATGACTTTCAAGGCCTCCCTTCCAGGCATCTGGAGACCAGCCCCCCACCGCCCCAGCCACCTGCAGCAAATGCCTATCCGCAAGCCCTGCCTGCTGGCACCACATCCAGCACGGACAGCCCTGCAGGACAGCCCAGGGTGCTTGCTCACTCTGCAGTCACTAGGAGTTCAGATCTCTGTCCTTTAAACATCCAATAAACCGCTCACCCCAGCACCCCATAGCTGTCTTGGTATATTTATGTTTATTTCCCTCTCGAGGCAGGTGGGGGGCATCTGTGGCTACACTGGGTCCCCTGGGAACCACACACACACACACACACACACACACACACACACACACCGGCCCTGAACCAAACCGGAGCAGGCAGGTGGGCGCCCTGGCCAGCAGGGATCCTGGATACATGGTGGCGGTCAGAGGCAGGAGCACCAGCAGCCACCTGGCTCAGCCCCTTGCCGTGCAGCCTCTACCACACCCTCTCAGCATCTGGCTCAGGGCGGGGGTGCCTTGCCTTGATCAGGCAAAAGCAATCACTAGGGGGTCATCATGGCCTGTTACCACGCGGTCTTATTCTCTTTGGGCTGATGTAACAGAACACCATGGACTGGCATGTACAACAGAAGTGTATTTCTCAGGGTTCTGGAAGCTGGCAGTCTGAATTAAAGATGCCGGCGGCCAGGTGCGGTGGCTCATGCCTGTAATCCCAGCACTTTGGGAGGCCGAGGGGGGCGGATCACCAGGTCAGGAGATTGAGACCATCCTGGCTAACACGGTGAAACCCCCCTCTCTACTAAAAATACAAAAATTTAGCCGGGCATGGTGGCAGGCGCCTGTAGTCCCAGCTACTCAGGAGACTGAGGCAGGAGAATGGTGTGAACCCGGGAGGCGGAGGCTGCAGTGAGCCGAGATCGCGCCACTGCACTCCAGCCTGGGCTACAGAGCAAGATTCCGTCTCAAAAAAAACAAAAAACAAACAAAAAAAGCCAGAAGAATGCAAATATGACATTCCAGAGGGGATGTATATGGAAGGTCAGCAATCCCATTGCAGCAACCAGAGAAGGCCACATTAATTACAGAACTCAGATGGTAAAATAAATAAATAAATAAATAAATAAATAAATAAATAAATAACTTCAGGAAATCCTACCGTATGTATCTTACCACAATTTTTTTTTTCTGAGATGGAGTCTCACTCTGTTGCCCAGGCTGGAGTGCAGTAGTGTGATCTCCACTCACTGCAACCTCTGCCTCCTGGGTTCAAGCTATTCTCCTGCCTCAGCCTCCTGAGTTTCTGGGACTACAGGCATGAGCCACCATGCCCAGCTAATTTTGTTTTGTTTGTATTTTTAGTAGAGATGGGGTTTCACCATGTTGGCCAGGCTGGTCTCAAACTCCTGACCTCAAGTGATCTACCTGCCTCACCCTCCCAAAGTGCTGGGATTATAGGCGTCAGCCACTGCATCCGGCCCACAATTTTGAAATACCGGAAAAATGTATCTATAAAAAAGACATTGGAGAACTGTAGAAGCAACAAGAACCAGATGAAAACATTCAGAGAGAGCCCTTCCAAGATGAGCTGAATGTCGGCTTCTCTCCCTTTAAGGAATTAACCAGTGCTGGGTATGAGCTGAGCCTCGGTCCCACTGGGGAAGAGGAATTCTACTGGGAGAAATACCCAGCAGGGCTCTTGGCAACCACAGGGGCTGGAGCAGAAAACTGGGACATTTGCAAATTTCTGGGGAGGCTAAGAAGTGAGGCCTGAGGCCTCCGCAGGTGCGCTGAAGTCTCGCATAGCCTTGTGGAGCTTAGTACACAGAGCTTTTCTAGAGGAAGGGGTCCTGCCCCAGGCACAGGTTAATCTGGCCCTTAAGACATTTTCCAAATTTTGAAGCTGCCTGAGCAGACAACTAAAGAGCTAAGCCTGTACCTCAGGGAAAGAAGTGACTCTCTGACAGCCTGTCAGGGATAAGAAGACACGGACTGGCCAGGCTCTTAACCAAAACTCCAGGAAAGCCACACAGAGGGACGATTGACTGAAGTGGCCCAATCCCTAACTGAGCGGGTAGACGAAATGTTCAGCTCCTCTCCCTGTCTGCACTAGAGAGGGAGGCCACGTGCTCACTGTTGGAAGAGAGCAGCTAGACCCCCACAGTCCTTAGATGGAGACCCCCACGGTCCCGAGATATAGACCTCCACGGTCCTTAGATACAGACCCCCATGGTCCTGAGATATGGAGCCCCACGGTCCTGAGATATAGACCCCCACGGTCCCGAGATACAGACCGCCACAGTCCTTAGATATAGACTCCCACAGTCCCTAGATATAGACCCCCACGGTCCCTAGACACAGATCCCTACGGTCCCTAGATACAGACCCCCACGGTCCTGAGATACAGAACCCCACGGTCCCGACATATGGTCCTTAGATATGGACCCCCACGGTCCCGAGATATAGACCCCCCACGGTCCCGACATATGGACCCCCATGGTCCCTAGATATGGACGCCACGGTCCTTAGATATAGACTCCCACAGTCCCTAGATATAGACTCCCACGGTCCCGAGATACAGACCCCCACGGTCCTGAGATACAGATCCCCACGGTCCTGAGATATGGACCCCCACGGTCCCTAGATATAGACCCCACGGTCCTTAGATATAGACTCCCACAGTCCCTAGATACAGATCCGCACGGTCCCTAGATACAGATCCCCACGGTCCCTAGATACAGACCCCCACGGTCCTGAGATACAGAACCCCACGGTCCTTAGATATAGACCCCCACGGTCCTGACATATAGACCCCCCATGGTCCCAAGATATGGACCCCCACAGTCCTTAGATATGGACCCCCACGGTCCCGAGATATAGACACCCCCACGGTCCCGACATATGGACCCCCCACGGTCCCTAGATATGGACCCCCACGGTCCCTAGATATGGACCCCCACGGTCCTGAGATACAGAACCCCACGGTCCTTAGATATAGACCCCCACGGTCCTGACATATAGACCCCCCATGGTCCCAAGATATGGACCCCCACGGTCCTTAGATATGGACCCCCACGGTCCCGAGATATAGACACCCCCACGGTCCCGACATATGGACCCCCCACGGTCCCTAGATATGGACCCCCACGGTCCTTTGAGGCATACCTCTGACAGAAAGCACGAGATACAGGACACAGCAGGAAACAGTGATCAATAATCATGCGGAAAGCTAACAGAAGAAGCAGATTACAGATAAGCCACATATTGGAGTTAGGAAACAAGGGCTTTAAAATAACTATGATTGGGCCAGGCACAGTGGCTCACGCTTGTAATCCCAGTGCTTTGGGAGGCCGAGGAGGGCGGATCACCTGAGGTCAGGAGTTCGAGACCAGACTGGCCAACATGGTGAAACCCCATCTCTACTAAAAATATAAAAAGTAGCCAAGGGCCAGGCACGGTGGCTCACGCCTGTAATCCCAGCACTTTGCGAGGCCGAGGTGAGTGTATCACAAGGTCAGGAGTTCAAGACCAGACTGGCCGACATGATGAAACCCTGTCTGTACTAAAAATATAAAAAGTAGCCAAGGGCTGGGCACAGTGGCTCACGCCTGTAATCTCAGCACTTTGGGAGGCCGAGGCAGGCAGATCACAGGTCAGGAAATCGAGACCAGCCTGGCCAACATGGTAAAATCCTGTCTCAACTAAAAATACAAAATATTAGCCGGGTGTAGTGGCATGCGCCTGTAGTCCCAGCTACTCAGGAGGGTGAAGCAGGAGAATCGCTTGAACCCGGGATGTGGAGGTTGCAGTGCGCCGAGATCGCACCACTGCACTCCAGCCTGGGCAACAAGAGCAAGACTCTATCTCAAAAAAAAAACAAAAAAAAAAGTAGCTGGGCATGGTGGTGGGCACCTGTAATCCCAGCTACTTCGGAGGCTGAGACAAGAGAATTGCTTGAACCTGGGAGGCAGAGGTTGTAGTGAGCCAAGATTGCACCATTGCACTCCAGCCTGGGCAACAGAGCAAGACTCCGTCTCTAAATAAATAAATAAAACAATATTCAATGTCCTATAAAATTTTTAAACTTTGTGGAAGTAAAATATATGACAACAGCACAGAAGTCAGGAGAGGGATAAACAGAATTAAATAGTTGTAAGGTTCTTGCCTTGTTTATGAAGACACGAGATTATTAACTGATAATATGTTATCATAATCTCTGGATGGGTGCAGAAGCTCACGCCTGTAGTCCCAGCACTTCGGGAAGCCAAGGCAGATGGATTGCTCAAGACCAGGAATTCAAAACCAGCCTGGGCAACATGGCAAAACTCCATCTCTACCAAAAATACACAAATTAGCCGGGTGTGTTGGCAGGTGCCTATAGTCCTAGCTACTCAGGAGGCTGAGGTGGGAGAATCACCTGAGCCTGGGAGGTCAAGTCTGCAGTGAGCCATGATTATGCCACTGCACTCCAGCTTGGATAACAGAGTGAGACCCCATCTCAAAAAAATAAATAAATAAATATAACCATCTCTAAGGTAGCCATTAAAGGATAATGAATACATAACCCGGAAGCTAACAGAAGACAGAAATTAGGCCAGGTACGGTGGCTCATGCCTGTAATCCCAGCTCTTTGGGAGGCCAAGGCAGGCTGATCACTTGAGGTCAGGAGTTTGAGACCAGCCTGGCCAACATGGTGAAACCTCGTCTCTACTAAAAGTACAAAAAATTAGCCAGGTGTGGTGGCCCGTGCCTATAATTCCAGCTACTTGGGAGGCTGAGGCACAAGAATCGCTTGAATCTGGGAGGCAGAGGCTGCAGTGACTCGAGATTGCACCATTGCACTCCAGCCTGGGTGACGGAGTGAGACTCTGTCTCAAAAAAAAAAGGAAAGAAAAAAAAACAGAGAGAAGTTAAATAAGATGCATGTTGTTTAGAAAAAACAAACCCTAAATATCAAGATCCAGGAAGATAGAAAGCAAAAGAATAAAAAAAAAGATATATTAGGCAAACATTAATGTTTTCAAAAACCTAGTATAATGATAGTAAGATCAGACAATGTGGACTTTGAAACAAAACCATTATTAGAAGAGATAACATTTCATGATGATAGGAGAGTTCATGCAACCAAACAGAAAACAATCCTAAACTTCTATGTGCCAAATAACTGAGCTTTAAAACATATAAAGCAAACATTGACAAAACTAAAATAAGAAATAGATAAATCCACAAATACAATTGGGACTATAATTGGGAATGTATAGGAATAATTGGGAATTTTAATGAACCTCTCTCTCACTCCACACAATGTGCCAGCTTCCCCAAACCCTCAGACACTCTGGCCTGCCCAGCAGCTGCCAAGAGGGGCCAGTAACACCACCTGAAGATGCAGGGAACTTAATTCCTCGGGAGAGCAACTCTGACCTATGAGAGCAGAAGACAGGAAGGAGCTTGCAGAGAAACTATTCTCCCTTCCTCCTCCCTGTGGACCATTCTGAGGTGGAGCATCGCTGTATGGTCTCGTGGGAGAGGGTGTGCAGACGTGGCCAGCTGAGCTGCAACTTCCAAAAAGCCACAGCAGCTGAGTAAGAAGCAGCCTTGCCTCAGCTTCACCTCCTCCCTGGCTCGGTGTGTTCCTCCCTTCCAGAAAATGTGTACACTGAGCTTTGCATCTGGCTACTTTCTGGGGAATGGAAGCTAAGACTCCCACCATCACCATGTCCACTTAGCATTATAATGGTGATGCCAGCCCATGCAATATGACAAGAAACAAGCAATGTGAGGTTTGGAAAGAAACGAAAGTGCAGATTCATAGATGATAGGGCCATCTACCTGGGAAATCCAAGTGAACCTACAGGCGGCCTGCTTGGAGGAGTAAGAGAAGTCAGAGAGGGTGATCGACAGCCAGCCCATGACAGGCAACAACACATCAGAAATTGTGGTTTTTATAACCTTTCACAAAGCAACCGAAATCATAAGCTCAGGAGTAATATACGCAATGGGAAGACTGTAAGGCCTCCCTGGGGAAGATTATAAGGCAATATAGAAGGACGTCTTCAAACTAAATATGGAGTCTGTGTGAGAAGACACTCCAGTGTCCTCCTAGTCAACCCATCAAGTAATGCAGCTATAATCAAAATGCATAAAATCCCAAGTGTTGGCAAGGGTTTTATTTTATTTTATTTTGAGACAGAGTTTTGCCCTTGTTGCCCAAGCTAGAGTGCAATGGCACAATCACAGCTCACCGCAACCTCCACCTCCCGGGTTCAAGGGATTCTCCTGCTTCAGCCTCCTAAGCAGCTGGGATTACAGGTGCCCACCACCACACCCGGCTAATTTTTGTATTTTTTAGTAGAGATGGGGTTTCACCATGTTGGCCACGCTGGTCTCAAGCTCCTGACCTCAGGTGATCCGCCCACCTCAACCTCCCAAAGTGCTGGGATTACAGGTGTTAGCCACCATGCCCAGCCCTGGCAAGGGTTTTAAATGGAGTTCTTCTAGCCTGCTGGCAAGTTATTAGAATTCTCCACTCAGGGCAACTTTGCAATATCTGGGGACATGGGAGTTGGGGGCAGGGGGCGCTGTGGCTCACGCCTGTCATCCCAGCACTTTGGGAGACCGAGGCGGGCAGATCACCTGAGGTCAGGAGTTCGAGACCAGCCTGGCCAACATGGTGAAACCCTGTCTCTACTAAAACTACAAAAATTAGCAGGGCATGATGGCAGGCGCCTGTAATCCCAGCTACTCAGGAGGCTGAGGCAGGAGAATCGCTTGAACCCAGGAGGTGGAGGTTGCAGTGAGCTGAGATCGCACCAGTGTACTCCAGCCTGGGCAACAGAGCGAGATGCCATCCAAAAAAAAAAAAAAAAAAACTAGGAAAGAAAATAATCCTGTAATCCCAGCATTTTGGAAGGCTGAAGGCCAAGAGAGGAGGATTGCTTGAGCCCAGGAATTTGCGACCAGCCTCGGTAACATAGTGAGACTTCATCTCTACAAAAAAAATTTTTTTTTTCTGAGATGGAGTTTCATTCCGTTGCCCAGGCTGGAGTACAGTGCCACGATCTTGGCTCACTGCAAGCTCCGCATCCTGGGTTCAAGCGATTCTGGTGTCTCAGCCTCCCGAGTAGCTAGGATTACAGGCACGCACCACCACACCTGGCCAAAAAAAATTTTTTTAATTAGCTGGAGATGCTGGCACATGCCTGTAGTGCCAGCTACTCAGGAGGCTGTGATGGGAGGATCCCTTGAGCTCAGGAGGTTGAGACTGCTGTGAGCTATATTTCCACCAGTGCCCTCTGGCCTGGGTGACAGAGTGAGATCCTGTCAAGAAAGAAAAGGAAGACAGGAAGGACAGAAGGACAGAAGGAAGGAATGAAGGAAATGGAGAAAGAGAGAGAGGGAAGAAAGAAAAATAATCTGAGAAGTGTGTTACAAACATGTAAGAGTTGGGTGTGGTGGCACGTGCCTATAATCTCAGCTACGGGAAGCCTGAAGCAGGAGGATCACTTGGGCCCAGGAAGAGTTCAGTCCAGCCTGGATAAAATAGAGGGATCCCATATCTCTTTTTTTAAGCATATACAATAGGATGCTGTCTGCTGCAGTTTTTTTGTTTGTTTTCTTTTTTGTTTTTTGTTTGAGATGGAGTCTCGCTCTGTCACCCAGGCTGGAGTGCAGTGGTGCGATCTCGGCTCACTGCAAGTTCCGCCTCCCGGGTTCAAGCAATTCTCCTGCCTCAGCTTCCCAAGTAGCTGGGACTACAGGCGCCCGCCACCACGCCCAGCTAATTTTTTGGATTTTTAGTAGAGACAGAGTTTCATCACATTAGCCAGGATGGTCACGATCTCCTGACCTCATGATCCACCCGCCTCGGCCTCCCAAAGTGCTGGGATTACAGGCATGAGCCACCGTGCCCGGCCTGCTGCAGTTTTTTATAGCCCAAATATGAAAATAATCTAATATGTAAAAAATAAAGAATTGGTTCCACTCTTGCCATACACCCATGAAATACAGAACCACACAGACGTTATCATCAGGTTGTGGGAAAGCAGCAATGTGGACGAATCTCAAAAGTATTTCCTTAAGGCCAAGCAAGGTGGTTCACGCCTGTAATCCCAGCACTTTGGGAGGCCAAGGTGGGCAGATCACCTGAGGTCAGGAGTTCGAGACGAGCCTGGCCAACGTGGTGAAACCCAATCTCTACTAAAAAATACAAAATTTAGATGGGCGTGGTGGCGGGCGCCTGTAATCCCAGCTACTCAGGAGGCTGAGGCTGGCGAATCGCTTGAAACCGGGAGTCGGAGGTTGCAGCGAGCTGAGATCGCGCCACTCCACTCCAACCTGGGGGAACAAAGAGACTCTGTCTGGAAAAAAAAAAAAGTATTTCCTTGAGTGAAAGATGCCAGGGGCAAAAGTCCTCTCATTGTTTGTTTCCATTGTTTCCATTTTTATAAAGTGTACGAACAGATAGCAGTAACTCACGGTGACAGGTCAGAGGGTGAGGACAGGGCACCAGGGAACTTCTGGGATAATAAAGTTTCTAGGTCTCATTTTGATGGTGATAAAACTACATATACAGTTGTCAAAACCCATCTACTGGCTGGGTGCAGTGGCTCACGCCTGTAATCCCAGCACTTTGGGAGGCCAAGACGGGAGGATCACCTGAGGTCAGGAGTTCGAGACCATCCTGGCCAACATGGTGAAACCCCATCTCTACTAAACACACAAAATTAGCTGGGCATGGTAGTGGCCGCCTGTAATCCCAGCTACTTGGGAGGCTGAGGCAGGAGAATCGCTTGAACCCAGGAGATGGAGGTTGCAGTGAGCTGAGATCGTACCACTCCACTCCAGCCTGGGCGACAAGAATGAGACTCCGTCAAAAAAAAAAAAAAATCTACTTGAATAATGGGTGCCAAGGGCTGGGGAGGGGGTTGGGAAGTTGGTGTCTAATGAGGACAGAGTAGAGTTCCAGTTTTCCAAGACGAAAAGCTCCAGAGATGGGTGGTGGTGACGGTTACACAGAAAGTGAATGTACTTAATGCTGCCAAATTCACTTAAAAATAGTTAATATGGCACACCGTATGTTCCTGCATGCATTTTACCACAAGAAAAAATCATACGGTTTTTAAAGAAATAACGGGAGAAAAAGTCTACTTGAACAGCTGGGATGGGCATTGTATTGAGTTAGCTATGCCTTGACTTAAAAAAGTTGGGGAAATAGTGGCATGGAGGTTTGCTACACATAATTAGTTGCAACGATTATATGCACATTAGCGAGAAAAGTGAACCCCACTGTTCCTTCTGCGCAATAGGGATGCTTTAAGAAACGACCTTGGACGTCCTCCCGGAGGCGAGAGGAGCTTCAGGCGGCCGAGCCTGCGCCACGGCCTGCGGACGGCAGAGGGCGCGCGCGAACCGCCGGGCCGGCCCCGCTCGGACCCCCACCTGCACGGCCCGGAGCGCGCGTCCCCGCCCCAGGCTGCTGGACCCCCGCACGTCCCTCGCCGCGGCCTTGGCGCCTCCCCGGCCCCTCGCAAGGTCCTCCCGAGCCCCAGAGACCCCCGAGGCGGCGTCTACAGGCCCGGGCCGGGACTGACACCGCAGCCCCCTCCCTGGTCGCGCCTCCCACCCCCGTCCACACCTGTGCCGGGAGGCGGTGCGGCCGCCGAGCTGAGCTGAGCCGAGCCGACCTGGTCGGGCACCCAGGCCCCTGAGCCCACCGCCCAGGCCGGCCTCTGCTGGGTGCAAAGGCAACGTGGAACTAAGGCGGGGCTGCAGAAAAACCACCGTCCTCCCCAGGGTGCCACCTCCCTAGTCCGCCAGCCTGGTTAGGGGCAGAACCTAACGCTCTCAGTGCTTATTTGCATGAAAATGGCTACGGGGATTATAACAATCGCCGCCCAGGGCACTCTGCCCCCCAGGGACAGCCCAGGCCCTCCAGGGGAGCCGTATTCCCCTCCAAACCGCCCCCTGGGAGCCTCCAGGAGGGACTAAAGGTCGCTGCCTGCCACCTGCTCCAGCCTGGCCAGTAGCTGCCCAGGGTATAACCAGAGCTCTTAGGGGACAATGGGCACTCCCAGGCCACAGGCAGATGCTGGCCACATCCCAGCTGGGCAGAAGACACGCCCATCGGGCTCACCTAGGCCTGGCAGGGGGAACAAGCCAGGTGAGGCTTCCCCCCAGGCGACAGCCCCTCTATCTAACGGCTAACAGCTCCCATGCCTGCGGGTCCCAGGTCCTTTCAGGCCTGTGACTGCCTCCTCAAGGACCTCCTTCGCCCCCTCCGGGTCTCAGCCTGAATCCTCCTGCCCCCTCCCAGGGCCAAGCCTCCCCCACTTTTCAAACCCAGCAAGGCTGCAGCAGGCAGCCCTACTCACCTGGCCCCGCATCCGGGTCCGGCACCTCCAGTCTCAGGGTCCCCCTCCAGCCAGGGCCTCCCTTCTCGCAGGGCCCTCCCGCTTTGGGGCGCAGCCCCAACCCCAATAACCCCTGGGCTCCCTTCCGGGACAGACCCACTCCCGCCAAGGCGTTTGTTTGTGCTGTGTGCCAGCTCTGCGCCAGGACGCACTCCACCGCCACCCCCACCCCATACGGGCCACTGCCGCTCCCCTCAGGCTGGCCAGGGAAGGGAGCTGCAAGCGCTTATTAATCGCCAACGGTGTACTCAGCTCTGAGGCTGGCAGGAAGACTGAGTATGGAAAGGGGGAGCCCCAAACCCCGCTCAGCATCCCCTGCTGCCCACAGTACTCCCCACCCCCAGCCATCACCATTGGCACCCTGAGCTCCGTGGTCCTGGTGCCCACTGAGGGTTCTGCGGTCGTTGCGCCAGCTTCATTTTCTGTGGCCCTTCATTCAACCAGCGGCCGAAGCCCCCTTCAGAGCCCCAGGGTGACCCTGGGGGGCCCAGGCTGGCTGGGGGCTCGGGGGCAGAAGGCGGATCCCCCCACGCTCCCTCTCCACCCGGCAGCGGGGAGGGGGCCTTTTAGAAATGTCTAGGGTGTCTCGTGACAACCCCCCCCCGCCAAAAAATCATTACTTTCAAAGGCTCCCAGGCTCCTGGGCAGGGGTCTTTGTCCCCTTCCTCCAGGACAGCGAGGCCTCCCCCGCCCTCCCCCTGCAGCGCGAGTCTGACCCCCTTGCTCCCGCCCAACACCTGCCGAAGGTGCAATTACCCGTGCGTTCTTCCTGCCCCGGACTCGCCGCGTCCCCGCCGCACGCGCGGAGGTGTTCCCACAGCGGTCGGCGGGGTGCGGCCCCTCAACAGCCCGCACAGGGGTCGTCGGGGCGGCTTTCCACGGAAGCGGGAGGGCTGGGGGTCGTGGGGGGTCGGCGGCGTCCTGGGGAGCCCGCCCCCGGAGTTCGCGGATGTGTGACCCGAGGCAGCCGGCTCGCCTCTGAGGGTCCCAGGTCCGCCCGAGTGCAGGGGGATCCGGCTCCGTCCTGCGGGGGTCGCGGCGGGGCGAGCACAGCCGCTGCAGGTAAAACGCCGCGCCTGGGTCTGGGGAGGGCTCCCCGGCGGCGGCCCAGCGCCAACAAAGGCCAGGAGAAGGGGGGAGCGGCGCCGGCGCCTGTCCGGGTCGGGGGGAGGACTTCGCGCCCGGAGCCGCTCAGCTGGACCGTCCGGGGTCTGTGCGACGCGGCCGGGGGCCCGGGTGACGGGGGGCCTGGGTGACGCGGGGCCCGGGGCCGGGAGGGCTTCCTGGAGGCGGGGTCCCGGACGCCGCGTGGTCCCTTTAAGAGCCGGTCCCGGGGTGAGGGCGGAAGGCGGCGGCGGCGCGACCCACCCGCACCCTGCACCCCGCCCCCCCCCCGCGGCAGCCGCCTCAGCTTCACCCCGAGCCCGGGCTCCGCTGACGTCACCTGCCCCCGAGCCGCGCGCGCTGATTGGCTGCAGGTGACGTCAGGGGCTTTTTTCGCTCGGCATGACCTCATCCCCGCCGGCGGCCCCGCCCTCCGCCCCGGGCCTGTCACTCGCGGCCGAGCGCGGCGGCCGAGCCGGCTCCCCCCACGACGCCCCGCCGGACGCCGGACGCCCGAGCCCGAGCCCGAGCCCGAGCCCGAGCCGCGCCGGAACCTCCCGGCCGCGCCCGCCGAGCCGCGGGGCTGGGATGCGCGCCGCGAGCGCGCGTGCCCGCCCGCAGTGCGCGCGCCCCGGCCCGAGCGAGCGCTCCCCGCGGCGTTGGCGGCGGCGACGGCGGCGACGGCGACGCGGCCCGCGCGCTCCCCCGGCCCCTGCCCCGGCTGCGCGGGCCCCCGCCGGGCCCATGGACGGCGCGGCCGAGCGGGCGCCCTGAGCGCGGCGCGGGTCCCCGGAGCGCCCCCGAGGCGAGCGCGAGCGAGGTGAGCGGAGGCGCCGGCGGGGCGGGGGCGGGCGCCGGGGATGGGGTTCACCGGCCCGGGCCGGGGGGCGGAGGGCGCCGCGTCGGGGGCGCTGGGGCAGCGGCACCCGGTGGGCGCCCGGGAGGAGGAGGCGGCCCCGGAATGAGCGGCCACGGCCGTCCAGGACGCCAGGGACAGGGAGGCCCCTTCCCCGCCCCCCGCAACGCCCGGCGGACCCGGGCCCAGCCCACGCCCGCCCGCCGCGTTGCCGCCCTTCTCCCCGCAGCTCCTTCTTTGGGTGTGGAATGGGGGGGGGACAAAAATCCAGGACCCACCAGGGCCGCCTGAGATCCAGCGCGGATCTGCGCGAGCCCCCGACGTCCCGAACGTCACCCCCGCGGGGGCCAGAACCGGAGCAGGCGGACCCTGGCCCGGAGTCGGTCCGGGAGGTGTGGAGCCTCGGCCGTGGGAGGGACGCGACGGCCTCTGGCCTGGGACACCCGGGAAGGGGCCTTCCCCTGTCGGGGGGGAGGGCTGCAGATCCATCCCCCCAGTGTCCAGGCCGCACTGCCTCCCCATCCCGGGGTGCCCAGCCGGCCCCTGAGGGATAAAGCCCCCGCGCCCTTCCGCCTGCTGCAGAGGCAGCCGCGGCGCTGGGGGAGGGGCTGGCACAGCCAGGCTGCTGCAGCCACCTCGCTAGGCCCAGCTGCCCAGCCTGGGATGCGGAGCAGACCAGGTGGGGATACCTAATAGTCTGGCCTGGAGGGGAGGGGGCAACAATAGGCCCAGCCCCAACAGGGTCACCCCTTCTGGGAGAATCTGCCTCCGTCTCCCTGCTGCGGGGTGTACCGGCCTCTGCTGAGGGGAATAGGGGCTCTGGTGCTGCAGTGATGGGGGGCGGGGACACTGTGGGATGGAGGAGGGGGTGGCAGGATGTAGCGTGGCTCCGCAGTGCTCTTGCTGTGCAGCTTGGGGTGGGGGTGGGGTGCTGCAGGCCAGGGAAGCTCCTTTTGTGCCCCAGCGGGGGGTCTGAGGGGAGATCCAAACCCCGGCACTCTCCCTTGCCTCCCTTCTGGCACAGCCCACCCAGAGACACTGTTGCACCTAGGGCGGTCCAGGGGTGAATGTAGCACCCCAGGCCCCAGCCCTCCACCAGGAGGACAGTCCCATGCATTCACTGCTAATAAGCACTGGATGCGGATGGCAGATCATGTGACCCCAGCTGGAAGTTCATCCTGAAGTCTCGCTGAAATACCTCCTGCTGCAGCCAGCCGGGGGCTGCACGAGTGTGGCTGGGCAGGTTCTATTCCCCTGGTATCCTCTGTCCTCGGGGAGGCTTCTGGGAATAAAGTCCCATTAACAGAGGTGCAGAAAGACGCTTAGAGTCAGTCTCTGCTCCAGGACCCTTCTCTTCTCAGGCTGGGGCTGAAGTCAGGGCCTAGAGGCTGCCACTGGACAGGTGCCTCGAAGGGGCATCAGCTAGGGCCTGGGGAGACCTAGGTGTCACTTCTTGCAGAAGGCAGGGAAAGGGGCAGACCCACAGTGAGAGAGAGGTGGTTGGACTCTGGCCATGAGAACTGCACCCGCTGAGGCCCCCTCTGCCGGAGTTGCTCAGGGCAGTGAACCTTGGAAGCGCCACACTGGTCCTGATGTTTAGCATGTGGCACAGTGACCAGGAGGAGGGACACAGGTCTGGTGGGAAGGGAGGGAACCTGGATATGTCCGGCTCTGAGACTCGACTGTCACGGCCCCTTGTGCCAAGTCCTCCCATCCCCTGCCCTGCCCGGACCCCGTTCCTGGGATCGGAGGGAGCCCCCCGCCCCACCCCACTTTCTCCCAGGTCCACAGCTTCCCCAGGCCAGCGGAGCAGAGTGTAGGCCAGCTTGGGTCCTACAGCACTAGCCAAGGGAGCTGAGGGGAGGCAGGGATGAGGGCATCTGGGGGAGCCCAGTGAGGGAAGATGAGCTGACCTGTGTGAGTGCAGGGTCCCTGCCTCCCAGAGTTGCCACCCACCAGTCTCTCCTCAGCCTCCTTAGTGTGACGATTTCTGCCTCCAGAAGCATCCCTGGGTAACAGTGAGCCGGACAGCTCCAAGAGCCTGCCTAGGTGTGAGGGGGAGACACAGTCCCATCCCCCCATGCTTGACAGTCCTGGCAGCTGTCTCTGAAGGTAGTGAGTCCCCATTTCTAGGTGCTGAGCAGAAGGTAACATGGTAAGGATGCTGTCAGTTGAGAGCTGGGGGTGGCCTGGGACTCCCTGGTCCCGTCTGTGCTCAGGGACAGGAATGTGCTGCACAGAGACGCTGGGTGTGGGAGCTCGTGTTTGTAAGGAGTCTGAAGCTGACCCCTCGGGTACTGGAGTCCTGGGGTTCTCAGGGGATCCTGCATACAGAGGGCAAGGACGTGCGTGTACTCTAGTGTATGTCCAGCCCACGCGTGTGCACATATTCACGCGTGGGTACTTGCACACAGGGCAGGTGGATTGTGGGTAAGGAGCACCAGCCCTGTGTGTGGAGTGGGTGTGCAAAGAGGTGTGTTCTGGCACGCACAGAGGGCAGTGTGCACGCAGCACTGGAGCCAGGCGTGCTGTGTCCCAGGGGAGGGTGGCGGCCTGGTGCCTCCTGGAAGGTGTGGGCCTGGGAGGAGCCTTCTTCTGACTTTGGACTTGGAAACTGCTTCCTCCTGGGCTCAAAGACTTTTGAAAAGGGTGTATGGGGCTGTGCTAGGGGGCATCCTGTCCCCAGCCCTGCCTCTCACCCCCCAACCCCTAGGCACTGGAATAGCAGGGCCACAGGTACTCAGGAGGGCTTGGCATGTGGGGCCGTGAAAGGAGAGGCATGGAACCAACACCATCCACATTTCCTTACCTCTGTTCCCACATGGCCAGTGCTGGCCCCACTGATCTGCACCAGACTGTCCTTAGTGTCTCTGCTCCCCACCCCACCCAACCTGCCCCATCCCTGGCATAGCTGAGCCCCGATCCTTAGCATCTGGGGAGACAGAGGTGAGGAACATGTCCCCCTGGGAGCTGTAGGTCCAGGGAGACCCTGTGGGTGAGGATGCTCTCCCAGAGGCCAGCATGGCACAGAGGCTTCCTGCAGGAGGGGGCACTCGGCCAGCCCTTCGCAGTACAGAGAAGGCCTCTGAGGGGGCGGGGAGCCGGCGAGCTGCAGGGAGCATGCTGGGCACAGCAGGTACCTGGAGTGGGAAGGAAGGTTAGGACCAGGTAGGGCAGAGGAGCGGAGGGGCTGAGGACTGGGCTCTGCACTGCCGGGCACCTGCTGGGGTGGGTAGGAGAGAGCAGGGAGGGGCGCGTGCCCACTCTGCAGAGGAGCCTGCTCCATGGTGGTGGCTGCCGCAGGAGCAGCGGTTGCCTGGCACCTCTGCTGTTGCCATGGTGACGATGGAGGTGCTAACTTGCTAATGAATCCCCTTCGGCTGCAAATAACAATACTATTGTGGGTGATAGGCCCAGCTCCAGCTCAGCGTTGCTTAGGAGGCAGAGCAGGGCCAGGTAAAGGCCAGGACCCGTCCTCCCGCCCCTCCAGCCCCTGCCCACCACCCTGCAGCTGGACTTGCCCTCCTCCCTCCCCTCCCTCTGGGTCTCAGATCTGGCTGGCTGCACCGAGGTCTCTCATGGCAGTGTCAGGACTCAGGGCTGCATGAAGGCTAGGCCCTGGCTGCAGAGAGGGCGAGGGCCTCTCCTCACACCTGCCCTCCTCCCTGCACTGGGGGGTATTTGCTTCTGTTGTTTTCAGTGAGAGAGAATCCACCCCCACTTAACGGATGAGGACATTGAGGCCGGGGCAGCTCCTCAAAAGACCCCCAGCCCAAGTGTCCCTGCCACTGCAGCCTTCTCGGGGTTCTGGGTCTCTGAGCTGGACCCTTGGGTATCCTACGGGGCACCTGGAGCCGCTGTCTCACCAGAACCACACATCTGGGCCCTCGCCTCTCACCACCTGTGCAAGGCTCAGGTAGAACTCGGGAAGGACAAACAGCTCATCAAGGACCCCCTGTGGGTAGTCAGGGACCCCCTTGGCAGGCAGAGACCCTCCACAGCAGGCAGGCAGCAGGCCCTTTTGCTGTTGAACTTGCTGGGTCTGGCCCTGGAGAGGACTCCCAGGCCTCGTTCCCCACCCTGTGGTGGAGGCTGGAGCACCAGCCCAGGAACGTTATCTGAGTGGGATCCTGAGGCCCTGCTGACCAGGTGCCACTGCAATCCCTGGTGTCAGCCGTGGGGTCAGCTGAGGCTGCCCATCCACAGTCAGGTGTTTCCCTGGCCTCTGGCAACAGGAGGGATGGTGGGAATGCACAGAAGCCTGGGCCCAGTCGAGGCGGGAGGGGCCAGGCAGGGGCCAAGCTTGAAGTGTCTGGAGAAGGAGAGTGAGTGCGAGGCTGGGGCTCCTGGGCAGGGAGGAGCTGGGACCTGCCCCTCAGTGTGGAGTTGGGGCTGGGCCAGGGACGAGGTCCACACCAGCCTTGCACCTGCTGCTCTGTGAACTCTCTCACTGGCCCCCGCCGGCCTGGGAGCTGACCTGGAGAGTCCAGAAACGGTGGTGGCCTCTGTCCCCAGCCTGCTGTTTGCAGTGCATGGGTGTCCTCAGGGCGCCTCCCCCCAGTGCCTCCTGTGGCTGTGGGTTGGGGGTCTGGCTTGCTGAGGGCCCGCTACCCACCGTAGCCCGCTTTGCACAGGGCGCAGGGCCCAGGGTACATCTATCTCCCAGCCTTCCCTCAGTCCTGAGCTGGGTGGAGTAAACTTCCTGACTGCCTGGCAGCTGTGGGGGCACAGGGAAGATGGCATTGCAGGGACACCCAGTGCCCATCTGTGTGTGACCCAGGTGTGACCCAGGTCCCAACCCTGCCCCAAGCCTCGGTTTCCCCATAGTTAAAGCAAACTCATCATCCTTAACACTATGCGCCTCCTAGGGGCTGTGAGTGTAAAGTGGACCCAGAGGAAGGCCAGTCCTGGCAGGTGACAGGGAGATGGGGCCCGGCAGTGGGGCAGTGACAGGCTTGTCATCAAGCCTGCAGGAGGGGCTTCCGGAGACTCCATCCTCAGACATCCCTACTCCACCTGCCCACCCGGCAGTCTGAGGCCTTTGCAGGCCATGCCGAGGGCCTGGCACCTGCGGGGTCCCCGACACTGACCCTCCTCCCAGGGCTGCCCCGCCCCTCCCATCCTGGGCCCTATCAGCCCATGAAGGAGCCTCCTAGACCCCAGGCTCCGCTAGGGGAGAGGCACTGTGTGGGTGCAACACGCCCCTGCAGGAGCTGGGCACTCACCCCCAGCAGGCACGTGGCGCACACTAAACCTCAGCCTGCAGGTCAGGAGGGCAGCAGTGGCAAAGGAGCCGTGCCTCTGTGCCTGAGCCCCTCCCGCACCCGCCTGCTATCCGGCTGCCCCCGGGAGCCCACTCTCCAGTGGAGGCAGCCCCAAGGCCACCATCCACCAGGGGCTGGATTATCGGCTTACGGAGCTGCCCTGGAGTCAAGTCTCCAGGGATTGGACTCCCTGGGGCTGTGCTAGGGAGAGAGGGGCAGGTGTGAGGACAGCAAGCCCGGAGGAGGGCAGAGAGCTTGACCATGTGGGAGGGTGAGGTGCAGTCCAGACCCCGACTTGCTGGGGGTCCTGTGGTGGAAAAGATGCAGAAGTCACAGCAGGGAGATGCCTGTGTCCCAGGGATGAGATGGAATGTTCTGGAATGCCTAAGGGTCCGTGAACCCCAGGGCCCACAGGAAGGACCCCTGGCCTCTTCCAGCCCTCAGACCCTTCTCTGTGGGGCCCATTTGCCCCCCTCTGCCTTGTTGCATCCTGCTGAGAGCTGGCCTTGTGACCTGGACGGGGTCTCTCCAGAGGGAGAAGGGTTCCCACGGGCACATGTTGGTGTGTCCTGGTGGGCGCAGCTCCCAGCTCTGATCTGTCCTGGGGAGCTTCTGGGTGCCACCCAGGGGCCCGCAGCACTGCTGACCATCCCCCTGTCCCTGCAGGTCCAGCACCATGTGCTAGGTCACTCCCAGCGCGAGGCCACACCTGGGCCGTCGGAGCAGCCCCTCCTCACTTCAGGGGTCACCCTCCCCAGCACCCATTGCCCCACCATGGCTGGGGACCGGCTCCCGAGGAAGGTGATGGATGCCAAGAAGCTGGCCAGCCTGCTGCGGGGCGGGCCTGGGGGGCCGCTGGTCATCGACAGCCGCTCCTTCGTGGAGTACAACAGCTGGCATGTGCTCAGCTCCGTCAACATCTGCTGCTCCAAGCTGGTGAAGCGGCGGCTGCAGCAGGGCAAGGTGACCATTGCGGAGCTCATCCAGCCGGCTGCACGCAGCCAGGTACCCAGCCCACTGCCCACCAGGCATGCATCACGTCCAGGGTCCACAGCTAAGGGGCCCTCAGCTCGGGCAGCACCCCCCTCCTCTGCCTTCCAGTCCAAACTCGACTCCTTGGGGTCACAGCCAGGGGCGTGTGGAGCAGTCCTCCCTGGCACTTGCCTCTCACCGCTGCCTGTTGCCCCTGCTCAGGGCATCCCCCGCACCCCCGCCCGCAGCACCCTTCCCTACCCTCCCTCCAGGGCCTCCTTGCTCAGCTTCTGCACAGAGGTGCCGGGCCCTCCCCACGCAGATAGGACTGTGTGGCCAGGGCCAACCCAGGCTCACAGAGGGGAGCAGTGAGTGGAATAGCAAGGTGTGACCACATGGCAGTGGGAGCAGCCCAGCTGGCCTACACGGGACAGGGACAGCTGTGTGGTCCACTTCCACTGCTGTGAGGACAGGAGGGGTGGTCAAAAGGCACACGTGAGCAGTCCATGTCCCCGTCCCACAGCTTCCCCCAGCCCGCAGAGTATTCAGGGACCCAGAATTCTCTCTGTGGCCCCCCAGGAATGTCCTTCTGGGGAAGGACAGCTCATTCTGCCCAGGACCATCAGGTGCAGCTGGGGAGGGACCAGCGGGGCTGTTGACCTGTGAAGGTGGCGGCACCTCCTCCTTCTACTGCCTCGCAGGGGACAAGGGTGACAAGCTCTTGGCCCTGGAGGCTTTGAGAGGGGTCTGGGTCACTGATAGGCCCTGTTCAGAGCTGGGACATGGGAGGACTCAAGTGGGATGGCCACTGGCCAGGAGTCCGCCCACCCCAAGGCCAGAATCGGCTCCCTTTGGTTTCCAACAAGGGGAATCTGGTGATTAATGACCCCCAGCAAGGACTCCCGGCAGAGTGCGATCCCATTGGCTGCCGGTGACGTCACCCAGCCCAGGGTTGGCGGCTCAGCTGGCTTAAGGGCTGAGTGTGTGCTTGCAGGGCGGGGGCACCGGTGCTGTCTGAGCAAAAGCCGCTCAACATCTGGGCTGGCCCTTGGGGTGGGGGAGGAGGGCAGGAGGAACCCAGCTTCCAGCTGCTGCCTCCGGAATTGGTGCAGGGGCCTGGGGTCCTGCTGCAGCCCTCTGTTTCTCCGCTGGGGGTTGGGGAGGGGATAGGGTGGGGAGCAGAATTGCTGGCTACACAGTTAGCCCCACTGAGAGCCCACACCCGAAGGCATGCGTTTCAGGGCCGAGCTTCTCTGTCCCTCCGCCACCCTGGGAGCCAGCCAGGTCCTATCCTGGGCTCCCATCGCACTCACCTGTGTCTCCTCCACACAGGCCTGGCCCAGAGCGTCCGTCCCCTTCACCCATGTGCATGGCATGGGGGCACAGCTGCGCAGGGCAGGAGTCCACCCCTCCCTGCCCCCATGGCTTGCTGTGTGGTGTGGGTGTGTGCATCTGGGCCTCTGGCAGATGGAGGAGAGTGTGTGACTGCACCTGCCCTCCCCTCCAGGCAGCAAGGTGACAGCTGCCTGCCTCCCATCATCTGATGCCCTTACTATTCCCTTGAGCCAGCATATCTGGGACGGGGCCAGGGCATCGATAGGTGGAGGCGGCATGCTGATCTCTGCCCCATGGCCCCCAGGTGGAGGCTACGGAGCCACAGGACGTGGTGGTCTATGACCAGAGCACGCGGGACGCCAGCGTGCTGGCCGCAGACAGCTTCCTCTCCATCCTGCTGAGCAAGCTGGACGGCTGCTTCGACAGCGTGGCCATCCTCACTGGTGAGTCCATGACCCACGCCTCCCCGAGGCACTTGCTCCGCCAGCAGTGGGGCTGGGGCTGGGGCTGGGGCATCAGGGAGGTGTCCGCTGGGCACGGGGGGATCTCCATACATCTGTGGTTCTTGAGGCCCCACCATCCTCTCCCCAGGACGCCCACACTTCAGGACCCACCAATATGACTATCCTCAACACAGAAGGAAACCTCACAGTACAGCTGGGCTCCAGAGGTGTAGGGCAAGGCATGCAGGCTGGGAGCCCCTCCCACTCCCGGAGCTCCTGTCAGAAGCCGGAGGCAGAGGCCCCATCCTCTGGAAACTCAGTTGGAGCCGTGGGGTCCCGAGGAAGTCCCCCCACCTCCGAAAGCCCAGCTGAGTGCAGGTTGCCTGGCAACAGCCTGGCACCAAGGCTGCTGCCTGGGTCCCAGCAGACAGCCCCCAGGGATCCCTGTGGCCCAAAAGCAGCCTGGGCAACTGGCCCCAAGCCCTGGAGGCAGGGAAGCCGCCCCCCTACACACGCTGATACACACTCATATACACTCACACACTCGTGGTCCCAGAGGGTTCTTTCTTTCCTTGGGCTGTGGCTGAGGGCGTGTCTGTAGAATCCACCTCCTGGGGTCGGCCCAGGTCCCAGAGCCGGACGGAGCTGGCCTGTCCCAGGGATGTGCACCCTCCCCCATCCAGGTCTGGGGTCTTTGTCCAGGCTCCTTCTGCCTGGCCTCTGCTACCAGGGGCTGTTCCAGGCAAGCAGAGGATATGGGGGACTGTGGGGTGCAGGCACGGTGGGGTGAGGAGTAGGCAGCCAAGCCAGGCCCTTGGCCCTGCATCCAGTGGAAGCAGGGACCTTCACCCAGCCTGAGGGCGACTGTGGGGGATGAAGGGGTGGCAGCCGCTTTGGCCAGGCCGACCTCCCGACATGGCATGTCCTGGGACCTAAAGGGCACCTGGGAGGCTTGAGGGTGGTCCAGTGTCCTGGGCAAGAGCATTGAGGCCAGGCTCCCTCCCCACCTCTCTGTGGGTGAGACCAGCACCCTGCACTGCTGGGTGGCCATGGTCAGAGGGTGTCTGTGCGTCTGTGCATGGCTCTGGGCGTCTGGTGACCAGCATCTGCCTCTGCGAGTGTGTACGTGAGCATGTGTGTGCATGTATGTGTGTGTGTGCATGTGCATGCATGTATGTGTGTGCATGTACATGTGTGCATGTATGGGCATATGCATGCCTGTGTGTGCGCATATGTGCATGTACGTGTGTGCACGTGTATATGCATGTATATACATGGAGGTATATTTGTGTATGTACCCGCCTGTGCTTGTCTGGGTGAGATTTGGGATTTGTGTGCATATGTGTGAACTCTCAGAACCAGAAGCCACAGAATGACGCACTCTGATCCAACCCTGTTCCCCTAGGTCCAGTTTGAGGACTGAACTGGTGGGGGGCGGGGAGAGAGTAGTTTGGGGCTTTTTACAGCTCACCAGGTGTAACAGGACCCCTCCCAAAGGCCAGTTTGCTGCCCTAGCCAGGAATGGGAGTCAGGAGACTCTTCTTGGAGGCTGAGAAAGGTCCCAGAGTGGCACCTCCCTACCTGCAGGCAGATCCCAGGAAAGTCCCAAGCCTGGAAGGGCCTGTCTCCCTCGAGGCCAGAGTGGGACGGTTTGGGGGGCTGGGGCCCTCACCCAGCACTGGTGGGTGGGACAGCATGGGTGTGCAGGTGGGCGTGGATGAGTATGGGCATGGGAGGGGCCGGGCCTGTGCTAGGATTTGCCAGGAGGGCACTCCCAGGGCCTGGTCATGCCACCCTCAGAACTGCCTTTCTGTGCTGACATCTGCCCTGCAAGGTTGAGGCTGTGTCCCCTTTTCTCCAGAAGTGCAGCTGCCAAGGAGTCCCAGGCCCCGTGGTATACAGTGGGCTCATGGCGACACCCAGGCAGGCCCACGGGCTCTGCCCTCAGGCTCCCTCCCACCCTGTGGTGGGCACAGCCCCTGCTCTGGGCTGGCTCTGCGAAGAACCAGGGAGAGTGGGAAAGAATATATTGGGGGGGGCAGGGGTGCTGCCCCTCACCCAGGAGAAGGGATGTTCCAGGATCCCGCGGCACAGGCAACACAGCTCCTTGGTCCATTTGCAGGGACAGTAGAGGCCGGAATGTGAGGACCAAGCCTCTGTCCTCCCCACAGCAGGGCAGGTTTGCGGGAAGCGGGAGAGAAACAGTGGCAGGACAGGCTGTGCTGGGGTCCCAGGACTGCTGTGAAGCCCACCTCCCCCTGCCGCTCCTCTTCCCCCACTCCAGCTGCGCTGCTCACGATGTTGGGGGGCAAGCGGCAAGGGATGAGAGAGGGGCCTGGCCCTTTAAGCAGCGGCCCGCAGTCGGCCTTGGACCCTTGGCCGGGCGACTGCACTGCAAGTGGGTGGGGTGGCGGCCCCCGCCCTGGCGGGGAGTCCAGGGGTCATGGAGGTGGCGGGCAGAAGTGCGTCTGTGACTGTGGCCATAAGCGCTTGCAGGGTCTCCCAGGTGGCATGGGGCAGGCACATGTCCTGGTACACACGCCTTTTTTCAAGTCTGGGATTTCACTGTGAGTAACAGGTGAACTGCAGGCGCTGCCCCAGAAACCCCCGAGTCAGGGAGCAGGGATACTGGGAAGGCGCCTTTGGAGATGCCTGGGGGTAGGGGTGCCTCCCCAGGGCCCAAAGAGTGCTGGGACCTACAAAGGGTCCACTGAACCCCAACACCCCTCACTTATCACTCACCCCCAGAGCCTGGGTGGTTCTGAAATCCCTGGAGCCTCGGTCCCTGCTAGGCCTGGCATCCACAGTGGGGTGTGTAGGGACATCCACACTACCTGCTCCGCCTGGGGAGGTCCTGGGAAGCTTCCTGGGGAATTGCTGACATAGCTGTCGGTTCTCTGCACCTGTCCAGAGACTTTCCTGCCTTTACCTCCTCTGGGAGAGGTGGGAGGGTACTGATGGAATCCCCAGCACCTCCTCCTTTGGCCAGGCCCTGGAGAAAGCAGAGAGTAAGGCACAAAATCCCTGGGAGAGCCACAGGGAGGAGGAGAGGCAGCAGGTGGCAGAAGAGTCTGCAGAGAAGTGGTGCAGCCCTTCCGCCTCCCCGGGGCTGTCCTGCAGCGGGAACATCCAGGGCTACCCCAGCTCAGAACAGTGAGTGGAAGCCAGCTACAGTGCCCATCCCAGCCTCTGCTCAGGGGAACCTGCAAGCTGGGGCGTCGTTGGTGACAAGTCACCTACCTGCTTTCCCCTGTCCAGTCAGCAGGTTCCCACAGAAGAGACTGTTCCTCCAAGGCTGCTGCCTCAACCCACCCAGCCTGGAGCTTCCCCTATCTCCACAGTCCCCCAGCGTCACGCCCTTTTTAGGGACACGGGGAGCTGGCACAGCAGGTGTTCTGGTTGGGGGTTTGCACACACTCCCCTGTCCTCAGGAGTTATCCAGGGTGGCTCTACTCCACCCAGCAGGGGAGAATGGAGAGAGGAGGAGCCCTAGGCACTGGGGGCACGCGGGGCAGGCAGTGGGCACCTGCTACACATGTGGCACCAGCCTCTTCTGCAAACCAGGACAAAAAAGAGCCCTGGGGTTCCCAGGCCCTGAGCTCCCGCCGTCACTCCCCTGCCCCGTCCAATGGGATAGGGCAGGCCTCAGCCCAGCTGCCTCAGGCTCTGCACAAGCAGGAGCCGGCTTGCCATGGGGGCTTATGTTCTGGAAGGTGTCCTCGGGGTGGTGCTGGGCCATGCTGGCTTCACCCTCCCAAGAGCTGGCAGCCACCAGGTGGGTGCTGCCCAGTTTCTGGTCCACATCGGTGGTCGCCCCAGCCAGGTC